>NW_003871091.1:0-278131 GCF_000001405.40 Homo sapiens
AATTTCATATGACGCAAGCATATTTTAAATAGAGTAACCAAAACAAATAGATTCAAATGGAATCTATGCAAACCATCCTCTTTGCTTCCTTTGTGATGGACACTCCTTAGCTTCTGCGCCTTAATAAGGTAGGGTTTGTTCATTCAGTCTTTCCAAAGATAAGTGTTGGAAAATTTAGAGTTAATAAATCAGTGGATAAAAATTCAATGACTATTTCAAGAAAATAATAGAAGAAATATATCGCCACCATTCAATGTTTGTGCAACCAGTGTTTATTGAGTGCTTTTAATGGTACCTAGAGAGTAATACAGGTGGTCAAGCACAGTGGCTTATACCTGTAATCCAAGAACTTTGGGAGGCTGAGGTGGACAGATTGCTTGAGCCCAGGAGAGTAATACAGGCATTATTCCAGCTTTTACTGAGTGAATATTCTAGCATTTGTACGTAATTCTGTGCACAGGTATTCAACAAGTATTGATTGTCTCCTATGCAGTAGGGTATATGTGCTGTTTTATGCACTGTGCTAGATGCCAGGGCTACAGTGGAGGGCAAAACAGACATGGCCGCTGCCCTTAGAGAGAATGCAGTGGTAGAGCCAGACATTATTTCAATATTCATACAAATAAATGTATAATTGCAAATTGCGCTAAGAGCTGTGAAGGATAACTACAGTATAGTATGAGAAGGTAGAATAGGAGAACCTGACTTGGTTAATGAGGGGCATTTGAGTTAGGACCTAACTGGTGACTAGGATTGTTAACTAGGCCAAAATGGGGGTGGAGGCTCATTCTAGGTAAAGAGGGAAAGTTTGTGAGAAGCTGCCAGAGTGGGAAGGAGCATGGCGTTAGAATTTACTTGACTGTAGTATTGCTGTCACTCAGTATATGTATATCAAAACCTCATATGCTGTATATCTTAAATATATACAAAAATAAAGTAAACAAGACCAGTAGGTTTGGAGAAGATAGAGGGGGAGAGAGGGCACACGATTTGAAAGAGGGTAGAGGGGGCCAGGCCAGGCCATACCTTGCTGGGTTTTGGTCTTTATTCCAAGGACAATAGGAAGCCTTTGAAGGCCTTTAAGCAATGGAGTGACTGGATCAGCTTTTTCAAAATGATCCCCCCAGCTCTGGTGGAAAGAGTGGAAGAGAGGTGGGTACAGGTGGAAGCTGTGTGGTCAGCCAGGAGAGAGACATAAATAGTGGCTTGGATGAGGAGGCAAAATACCAGATATGGCCAGGATATGTATAGGTATCTGTTGAATGAATGAATAAATAAATCTAGGGTCAGGAGACTTGGAGCTTGACCTAGTTAAAAAGCTACAATTGAAAGATTTTTAGATCAACATTGATAGAGGAATAATTTTTCTTTGATTGTTTAGTTAAAGTTCAATTTAACTGAAAGGTAAAAGCCAGTTAAAATAATGCTTTATTATTTGATTTTTTTTTCTGACAAAATGAAACATAATTTAAATGATCCATAGTGATCCTAAATAGATTTTTAGTTCAGAGATAAATTATCATAAGGACATAAGATGTTTGGATATATGTGTATAGCAAGTGTTTTATGATACATATTCTACATGTTGGGAATGTAGTTTTATATGATTAAGTTTTCAGAGTGCCAATGCTTTGGAAAGTGCAGCTAAAAAGTCTCCCTGTGGACAAATTGGCAAATAATTGTGTAACCTGCTACTTCAGCTTTGTGTCTTTGGTGTTATAATATTATATTGTCCTTTAGCTCCTCAGAAATGATCTCCTCTTTAATGCAACTGTTACCTGTGTACCCTGGAGGTGACAGATAATCATGATAATGATGACTAAAACTTTCATCAGGTTCTCCTCCCTACTGAGACCTTCCTTTCCCTTGAGCAGTTCTTGTCTTCCCACTGGCCAGCGTTCAGTTCTATCTCCTTCAGCTCTGCAAGCTGTAAAAACACCTTCCATAGTCACACAGGGGAACTGAGTAAAATTCTCCTAACTTCACATCACCTGAAGGACTTTTTCTTACCCCTAGCCTCTGAGTAATAACACTGAGAAGGACTTCATTGTTGTGCTTTCCTATAACACCACTGCTGGATTCTGATTAGCCTGGATCTAATTCTGTAGTACTAATTTTTGTTCCAGGATTATCTCTATTGGATGCTGATTATATATATTTGTATTTTTTAAATGATAAACATTTATTTTATTATTTGTCAGCCTACTCAGTCATATATTAGATAGGCTAGGGAAGTTTAACATTAAAATTATCATCCAGAATCAGCACATAAGGCTGTTTAAAATGGGTATCCAGTGAAAACACCGTAAAGCACCTTGGGAGGTACTTTTTATCCAATGTAAATTGTAATATACAATGTAAAAACTGTATGAAACTTTATCATGTATTTGCCTTTAGATCATAAAAACTGAGGTTATTTTCAATAGACTATGTAGAGTCTTACATATAGTTGGTGCTAAATAAAAGCTTGTTGAAGGAATTGAAGCCATCCTCACAGAATTAAGAATTCTGGGCAGAAATGTAGTTATAATTAAGCTTTAACCAGGCTGCACTTTGACCCACTTCCTTGTAACTAAACATCACATAACCTTAGATTCTGACCATTTGCATCCCCATTGTTCCTGTAGATAGAAATTCTAATGTTAGAACCATGAGGCTTTTGTTTAAGAATTGCTTAAACGGATCCTGAATTACTGTGGAACTGCTAACGCCAACCAATTTAAAGACTCCCACAGACAAACCAAATGAGCATGAGAGTACAGTTTCTTTCTCTCCCTGTCCTGGGACTTCACCCTGTACTCTTCAACTAATCAACAATCTCTATGCTTTGGCTCACTCCAAAACTCTTAAAAACCCTCGCCCCAGAGTCCCCGGGAAGATGGATTTGGGGTTTTCTCTTTTCTCCTCATTTGTTGGCCTTACCATTAAACCTCTGTCTCTGTTGCAACCTGGTGCCTCTGGGTATTGACTTGCTGTGAACATCCAGGCAATGAACCTATTACAGCTACAGAATGAATACACAAATAAATGCATATGTGATGCCCCACTTGTATACATAAATAAGCCAGCGGAGAAAACCAAACACCACATGTTCTCACTCATAAATGGAAGTTGAACAATGAGAACATGTGGACACAGGGAGGGGAGCATCACACACCGGGGCCTGTCGGGGAGTGAGGGACTAGGGGAGGGATAACATTAAGGAGAAATACCTAATGTAGATGATGGGTTGATGGGTGCAGCAAACCACCATGGCACGTGTATGCCTATGTTACAAATCTGCACGTTCTGCACATGTATCTCAGAACTTAAAGTATAATAATAAAAAATAAAAATTACACTGCAACTTGTCAAAAAAGTTATACTTGTTGCTCTGTTTATTTGAAACGTGAAATTGCAGCCTGACGTGATTTCTTTAAAATCCCATGTTACTTGCAAATAAATGAAATATTTCAAAATGAGTACACTTAGCAGAAACTTAGTAGTGTATGTATAACTTCAGGAGATCAATAAGTGCAAGTCAGTAACTAAAATGACCATATTCTTACCAACCAAGGTCATAGCGTCGTGTGTTTACGGTGTTTTTAAAGATTTCAAAATGCCGGGCTAATGTGATTATATGTGATATTATTGTTGTCTTTTTGTACAAAGTGAGTCATCTCAAGTTGAGTAACTTGTTCTGAGTAAGATAATGACTCACTGAGAAAGCCTGAAATACCATCTAAATGGCTTCTATTAGAGCCCACTGCTGTCTGTGGACTGTTTTATCAGTGTGATTTATTTACAGGTCTGCTTCTAAATTGCGTATTTGTTCCATCATTTTGAAGAAGAGTTGCATTTCATTAAGAATATGTACATAGTGAAAAAACAATGACATATTTTAGCAACTAGAATTCGCAATGAATTTAATTCTAAAGAAGAGTAGTATGCAGAATTTTTTTCCTGAAAAAGCTTGATGCTCATGTTTTTACAGTCTATAAAGTTAAAATATCTATTCTGAGTTTTGCAAACAATTTATTGCATGTGTGTAAAGCATTGCATTTATTTATAATTCTGCTATATTATGCTAATTTAAGAAATAAACCCTAAAATCATGCATGACAATTCCCAAGAATGCTAAGCTTTTTTTGAGACGGAGTCTCACTCTGTCGCCCAGGCTGGAATGCAGTGGTGCGATCTCAGCTCACTGCAAGCTCTGCCTCCCGGGTTCACACCATTCTCCCGCCTCAGCCTCCCAAGTAGCTGGGACTACAGGTGCCCGCCACCACGCCCGGATAATTTTCTGTATTTTTAGTAGAGACAGGGTTTCTCTGTGTTAGCCAGGATGGTCTCAATCTCCTGACCTCATGATCTGCCCGCTTCGGCCTCCCAAAGTTCTGGGATTATAGGCGTGAGCCACTGCTCCCAGCCCCAGTTTTTCTTAATTTATTTTATATACTCTGTATTTAGTTGTAGAATCCTCCCCTTCAATTTGAGCAGCTACATTAATATTAGCATTTTAGACAGGCACCGTGGTTTGCACCTTTCATCAGGCATCTGACATTTGACTAAAATGGCAGTAGTCTGAGGTGGGAGGATCACTTGAGCCCAGGAATTTGAGGCTGCAGTGAGCTATGAGCACACCATTGCACTACAGCCTGGGTGACAGAGAGCGACCCCATCTCTGAAGAAAGCACATCTTATAGTTTCAAAGTGCTTTATGGCTTGTTAAGCTCCTTCACAGAAGTTGGCTTATTTGATGCTCACAACTTGTGATAGAGGGAAGATAAATATTATTCCCCCCTCCCCATATGTTGGGTGAGAAAAGTGCACTTTTTTTTTTTACAAAAGTGGAATAATTTAGGATTGTGCATGAAGGGAAGAAAAAGAATAAATATGTCTGGGGGAAATATGTAAACCAGTTCATTTCTTTAGTTGTAGAGAGACTTTTTTTCTTTGCATAATAATAGCAGGTAATATTTAGTGCTTACTATATGCCAAGTGTGAATTGACCCATAGAATTCTCATAATAGGGCGTGAAGCAGGTATCCTTTTTTGCCTTGATTTTAGGGAACAGAGAACTATGGAACAGAGAGGTAAGTAAAACCATTAGAAAGTGCCAGAGCTGGGACCCAAACTCAGGCCTTTGAACTGTGCTTTTAACCTCTATGCTCAGTGGTGTACTGGTGTAAAACAGTTTTCTGGGAAATACATTTTAAAAGCCCAAGTTCCATTTGTGTAAATACTCCCATCATGGCCAATTTCAAGCTGCCCATGGTTTAATAGCCAGCTTGGAAAATTCCTGAATATTTACTGATCAGTGATTAAGAGCCAGCTTGCCCTAGGACACCTTTGACGATCCTACATGGCCTCTCTGCGCCTGTGGACAGTATCATCTGAAGAAAGAATATTCAATTATTATTTTAAAATTGACTATTGAGTTAATATTTACTTACAATGAAATATATTCGTTTTAAATGTGCAGTTTGAAGAGCCTTGCTAAATGGACCCATCACCACAGTCAAGATACGGAACACTTCCATCGGTCCCAAAGGTTCTCAGGTGCCCCTTCCAGGTTAACCAGTTAATTCTCACTCCTCCCACACCTTTCAGCTCAGGTGACCACTGAGCTTATTTCTGTCACTATAGATGAGATTTTATCTTTCTGAAAGTTTCATATAAATGGAATCATACAGTATGTATTCTTTTGTGTCTGGTTTCTTTAGCTCAGCACAATCTTGGATTCAGTTCCAAGATTTAAGAAACATTTACTACCCCATAAAAAAATCATTTACTCAGCTATATGATTAAGAATTTCATTTTCATTTGATATTTGAGTATGTTTTTAAAGCCTGAGTAGTTATTGATTGGCTGGTTTTCTTAACTCTAAATAATTGCTAACTTTCTTTTTCACTTTATGCCTTGTAGAACTGCCTCCTTACTGGTGAACTTTTTGGAAACTAATTATTAGTTAAATAAGACAATTTTAATTTGCTAAGTTGATCGTTGTAAAAGGTTTGCTTTTTTTCTTCTTTCTTGTTTTAAAAGATAAACCTTCTAGTATCAATACATCTCAAGTGGCTTGAACACACAGGCTTAGCTTATTTTTATTTTATTTTATTTTATTTTTTGAGACGGAATCTTGCTCTGTTGCCCAGGCTGGAGTGCAGTGGTGTGATCTTGGCTCACTGCAACCTCCGCCTCCTGGGTTCAAGCTATTCTCCTGCCTCAGCCTCCCTAGTAGCTGGGACTACAGGCGCACGCCACCACTCCTGGCTAATTTTTGTATTTTTAGTAGAGATAGGGTTTCGCCATGTTAGCCAGGCTGGTCTCGAACTCCTGACCTCAAGTGACCCACCTGCCTTGGCCTCCCAAAGTGCTGGGATTACAGGCATGAGCCACCGCGCCCAGCCAGGTTAGTTTATTTTAAAGTTCATTTCTTGAGACTCCAGAAGATGGCACTCTTACAAAGCCTAAAGAAATAAAGCTTTGGCTTTGTTTTTCTACGTGGTTGTTTTTCTAGGTGGTTCCTTCCTGCTGTGACCCATTTGCAAAGCCATTTGTTTGGGAGAATAACATTTATTTTTTTTTCTGATTATCAGAGTCATATATGCTGTTTGTTAAACATTTTAATAAAGGTATTCTTCAAACCCCTTGCTAATCCCCAAGAGATAACTACTATAACAGTTCAGTATATATACAGTATTTTCCAGACCTTCCACTAGCTTTTACACACAACATATGCATATCAAAGTAAAAATTTAAATTTGTAAAATTTTAGATTTTAGGATAATCATAAACAATGTACTTGTCTTTTGCTATAGGATTCTTTATTCAGTTTTTTTTTCTTAGGAGTTCTTTTCTTTAAAGACAGACCTTCCACTTCTGCAATTCATTACTTGCCGAGTCCAAAGGGACCTCTCACATCTGTGTTGAATTAGGGCTTGTGGCCTAGTGAATGAGGGATAGACTCTCATGATAAGGATGCTGCTATGGTCTGAAAGTTTTTGTCCCCCCATATTTGTATGTTGAGACCTAATCACCAATGACCCAGTATTAGGAGGTGGGGTTTTCGAGAGTGGATTAGGTCATGAGGGTGGAGCCCTGGCGAAGGGGATTATTGTCCTTATAAATGAGGCCCTGGGGCATTGCTTTGTCCCTTCTGCCATGTGAGGATATATCGAGAAGCTGTGTATGATCCAGAAAGCGGGTCCTTATCAGACAGTGAAGCTGCCTCCAGAACTGTGAGAAATAAGTTTCTCTCATTTTTAAGCCACGCGGTCCGAGGTATTTTGTTCTAGCCGCCCGAAGGGACTGATAGATGCTGTGCTAGTTGCATTTCTTGTCAGTGAGAACAGGGCAAAGTGAAGTTACATAATAAGAAATGTAATGCTTCCTTTGCCAAGTGAAGACTTATAGGATATTTTGGCCAAGATAGTATCAGAAAAGGACTATTATTTGGGTCTTGCTGGCTGTGCCATGAAATCCTAGCCATTGGAACTTCAATGGGAAATTTTGTGAAATCACGAATTTTTTTCAGATAGTTTTTTCCCCCACGATATAACCCTGCCGGTAGCTGACTTCCCCAAGAGCATATAGTCCAGGAGACCAAGGAAGAACTGAAAGGCCTTTGTGATCTATCTTTGGAGGTCATATACTGTCACTTCTTCAATAAATCTGCTCCTCGTTCATTGTGAGAAGGAACTACACAAGGGAATGAAGACCAGGAGGCAGGGATCACTGGCACCAACCTGGAGGCTGCCACAAGTCACCAATATGTGGGTGCTATTTAAAACCATGGGATTGGCTGGGTGCGGTGGCTCACACCTGTAATCCCAGCACTTTGGGAGGCCGAGGCGGGCAGATCATGAGGTCAAGAGATGGAGACCATCCTGGCCAACATGGCAAAACCCTGTCTCTACCAAAATTACAAAAATTAGCTGGGCGTGGTGGTGTATGCCTATAGCCCCAGCTACTCAGGAGGCTGAGGCAGAAGAATCGCTTGAACCTGGGAGGTGGAGGTTGCAGTGAGCCAAGATTACACCATTGTACTCCAGCCTGGGCAACAGAGCGAGACTCCCTCTCAAACAAACAAACAAAACCCATGGGATAAGATCAGGGAGGAGAGGCTGGGGAGGGATCAGATGAGGTTACCTGGGGAGGGAGTATAGAGAAAAGACAAGAGGATTGAGCCAACATTCAGTCACAGAAGTCTGAGAAAAAGCTGCCTACAGAGTGATGGCTCTGGGAGCTTTGTGGTAAAAAATTTCCAAGAGAAGGGAATGCTGAGAAACTATGGTACTAGCTAATAAATGACCCTTGCATTTATACTTGTGCAAAATCCTTTCCCCTTTGAGTCTCACACCATTCTTATGTAGTTGTAAGGAAAACAGATGTTATTTAAAGCAGTAACTATTTGCAGACACTTTTGAGCACCAGGGAAGTAGAATCCTTTATTTATTACTTGGGGGCTGTGGACCTTGTTCAGAGGCCTTGATAAAATCCTTTTGAGTCTGAAAGGTAAAGGTTACCCTAGGATGTGTGCTGGAAGGTGAAGGCTAGACAAAGAGAGCTGAGCGTATAATAAAGTGAGATGAGTGGAGGATCTGAAACCATTAAAAATATTTTTTTCTTTTCTTTTTTTTGAGACAGGGTCTTACTCTGTTGCCCAGGCTGGAGTGCAGTGGCACGATAACAGCTCACTGCATTCTTGACCTTCCCAGGCTCAGGTAATCCTTCCACCTCAGCCTCCCAAGTAGCTGGGACTACAGGTGTGCACCCCCACACCCGACTAATTTTTTTTTATTTTTTAAATTTTTTTTGTAGAGACAGAGTTTTACCATGTTGTCCAGGCTGGTCTTGAATTCCTGGGCCCAAGCAATCTGCCCATATTGGCCTCCCAAAGTGCTGGGATTACAGACGTGAGCCACTGCATCTGGCCATATAAATGATATTAAAAGGAAAAGCTGCATACTGAAGCAAATCAGCTTAAGTTGGCTGACTAGCCATTGGCCTTTGGACTCAGCTCTGGAATTCCTCTTGTCTAACACAACTCCTCCCTCTCCCTTCTGCTTCTTTGACACTCCTTATTCACCATGTCTCCTTGTTTCTTCATCCCACTTTGGTTTCATACAGTAAATAATAATAAGACACAAATATTGAGTACTTTCTAGGTGCCAATAGTTTCCAGGTTCCTAGTGCTTTAGGTACACGACCTCATTTCATCTTCACAAAACCCGTGCCATGAAGCAGGTGCAGTCATTGCTATCATTTCCACTTTAAGAAACTGAGGAACACAGAGGTTAAATTACTTGTTATTAAGTAGCAGAGCCGGAAATTGAACCCAGTGTGATGTTAGAGGCCAGGCTCTTAATCATTGAATTTTGCCCATTTTCCTTTTAGGGTTTTGAATTTGGCAACCCATGTTGAACCACCATCTACTCAGGCTGAGACTTTGGCTGCCTTTTTCCCTAATGCAGAACATGATTTTTGTTACTGACTTGTGGGTCTGACCTGCCCCAGTGGGGACCCCACCCTGGGCCTCACTGCTGCCAGCTAGGAGAAAGGAGAGCAGAACCATGTTTGTTCACACCCTCTGTCTTTTCACATGTATTTGCCCTGTTGCCTTTCTCCCTCGTCTACCTGGATGATTTCTTTATGTAGCATTTCATTGCCCCTCCTGGAAAATTGTTCACTTCTTCCATGTGTCCTTCGAAGTTCTGTTTGTTTTCTTTTTTTTGCTTTTTTTTTTTTTGAGACAGAGTCTCACTCTATTGCCATGCTGGAGTGCAGTGGTGCAATCTTGGCTCACTGCAACCTTCGCCTCCCGGGTTCAAGTGATTCGCCTGCCTCAGCCTCCTGAGTAGCTGGGATTACAGCCACCTGCAACTGCACCCGGCTAATTTTTGTATTTTTAGTTAAGATGGGGTTTCACCATGTTGGCCAGGATGGTCTTGATCTCTTGAGCTCATGATCTGCCCGCCTCAGCCTCCCAAAGTGCTGGGATTACGGGCGTGAGCCATGGTGCCCAGCCCTTTGAACTTCTATTCAACAGATCTCACTGTATCAACATTCTTGGTAGGTGTTTATCTCTGCCCTCAACCATGAGCTCCTCAAGGCAAGGACCATATCATATTCATCACTGAGCCTCCAACCTGGCACACTGTAGGGGCTCAGCGTTTCTTGACTGCATGAATGATGGTGCTAGAAAATGAACAGGACAACTCTCAACTGCTGTAGTAGACAATATAATTTTGCTACAACCTTGATGAGCTTACATAAAAAGGCCAGAACTTCTAAAAGAATCTTCTTTTAGCTTAATCCTCAAACCCTGACATCTTCATCCCAGTTTTATCTACATTATCATTATTATCATTATTAATGTTGTGTAGAGATGGGGGTCTCTCTATGTTGTCCAGGCTGGTCTTGAACTCCGGGCCTCAAGCAATCATCTTGCCTCTCAGCCTCCCAAAGTGCTGGGATTATAGGTGTGAGTCATTACTCCCAGCCTCTATTTTATTAGTAGTATTTCAAAAACTTCTCTCTATGCTCTTGACATTCTTGTTGGAATCAAGGCATACATTTCACATTATTACCATTCATCTTTTATTACAATTAACTCTATTAAAACAATACTACTTGATTAAAGCTCTATGATTAAAAAATATTCCGGGTTACCAGAAGAAAGTTCGTTAAAAGACTACTCCAGGTCCAGAAGGATATAAGGTAATTTTGATTTGTTACAAAGACCAACATGACCAAAATGACTTGTGACTGAATATTGTTTCAGAAGGGCAAAAAGGATTCAATGTGAATAGGGAATCCAAAGAAAATGGAACAGACAAAAATAGGGATTGAAGTAATACAGCATGTTACTCTGAAAGGAATAATTTCTACTTGTAAATTTCTTGTTCCTAAGGAACCAATCATGGGGCAGATCTTGTGAAATTTTACATTAGTTCTTCAATTTCCTGAACTTGAGATGAGACCACCTCACCATTCACCATCTCCTGCACAACTGTCTTGATTTTTCGGGTTTTGGTTGGGTCTAAAGATAAAAATGGAATAAGGGGGCAAGAGTTAGTGTTTCAAATATTAATCCAACACTGGTTGTTTAATGTAGGCTTCTAAATTAAGCATTGGTTGATACAATCCATCTAATTAAACTTTCAAAAGTAAATTTTACTTCTCAAAAATGTGTTTTAGCCAATGACAATGAAATGTATTCAGTGTTGCCTTGTACATATATGAAAACTTTTTTTAAGAAAACATTTCAAAGGTGGTTATGGTGATCATAATACCTTGCAGCAGAGTAGGTTTTTTCCCTTCTGCTTTGCCATTTTTTTTATTTTTTAATTTTAATTTTAATTTTCTTAAAGACAGGGTCTGGCTCTGTTGCCCAGGTAGGAATGCAGTGGCATGATCATAGCTCACTATAACCTCTAACTCCCGGGCTCAAGCGGTCCTCCTGCCTCAGCCTCCAGAGTAGCCGAGATCACAGGTATACACCACCACACCCAGCTATTTTTTTTCTTAAGTTTTTTGTAGAGATGGGGTCTCGCTATTTGCCCAGGTGGGTCACGAACTCCTGGCCTCAAGCGATCCTCCCACCTCAGGTTCCCGAAGCTATGAGGTTACAGGCATGAGCCACCATGCCCAGGCCCCCAAAAGTTTTAATATGGTATAGACTACTCATTTTGTGCAGGAATGCATAAATGTTTTTCCTTGGCTCAGAATATAAATATGCTTTAAATTAAAATTAATAATAATGCAGTAGTCAATGAGGTCTTACAGGTTTTGCATTAATAAATGTGATTCCGACTTATTCTAAGTGATTCTAGGGTTTCTGCATACCTTTAGAGGAATCAGTTGACTGTGCTTGTGATTTGGAGTCTGTCACAAATAAACTTTCCTCCAAACCATCACTGTAAGAAAACAAAGGAGATGACCTCAAAAAGTGAAACAACCTGGCTTTTAATGGAAGATCTGGTCTGAGAAATTAGATTTCCCAATTTGTAGGCCTGAGTTCTTCCAACTAGTGCAGACTCTGATCACTTTTGGAAAGCTTGTTAGAGTAGGTGGTTCAGGTGGCTACTATGTGTCCTTCTTATCATCAGGTCTTTGATATCAGAAATTGAGTAAGTGACTTTTATAGTACAGGGAGTACTCATTTACAAACTGTTTCTGACCGTGGTGCCTTTGTTCTTTGCAGCATTTTATGAATTATCAAGTAAGATAATGGGTGAAAACACTTTGCAAAGTGTAGAGCATTTAGTAAATCCCAGGCATATCTTTACTAGACTTGTGTTTGTTTGTTTGCTTTTCTGTCAACTAAAACCCCATTCCTTCTATTTCTGCTGCCCACTCTTGGTCAGCCCCTGAAGGTGTTTACAGCCTCCGTTGTCTGCTCACCCTTGGGCCTCCCCGTCCAGCAGGCGGCGGTAGGTCTCAATCTCCAGCTCCAGGCGGGCCTTGACATTCAGCAGCCGCTGGTGGTCCACGTTCTGGCGCTCTGCGTCCGCGCGCACCTGGAGCAGCTGTGCCTCCAGGTTGCTGATGAGCTGCTGCACCTGGGACAGCTGCGCGCAGTAATCGCCCTCGGCTTCGGCCAAGGAGTCCTCCAGGGATTTCTTCTGCACGTGGGAGGGAAATGGCATAGAAATAACGATGGAGGGGACCGAAAAGAGGAGGGTAGCCAACGGCTAATGTAATTTGGATGCAGCATTTTCTTTGGAAGTCCAAAGGATGCTACGTCTGTTTGCGCACGAGCCTACCATGGCGAGCTGGGACTGTAGCTCGATCTCCAGGTTCTGAAAGGCGCGACGCAGGTCGGTGACCTCGCTCTTGCTGGACTGAAGCTGCTCGGTGTTGGTGCTAATCTCCTTACGGAGCTCCCCGCTCTGCAACAGCAAAGACAGCCAGGGGGCTCGAGCGCTGAGCTCGTTCGCAGGCCTTTCTGTGAATGTATCAAAGCCTTTGTTGTTTGTGTTACCTTTTCAATGAACCAGGCTTCAGCGTCCTTCCGATTCTGCTCAGCGATGGTTTCATACTGCGCCCGCATATCATTGAGGAGCCTGGTGAGGTCCACTCCGGGGGCAGCGTCCATTTCTACGCTGACCTCGCCTGGGCCGCCCACCCGGAAGCTTTGGAGCTCCTGGGGACAGCATGTGAGAGAGAGGGGCACAGGGGTCCATTGTGACTTTCGTGGGCCCTGGATACTTTTGTCCTCTTGGGCCCCTTCCTACACACACACACACACACACACACACACACACACACACTTAAAAATTCTATCTTATGACTGTTGGTATAAAGACAAATATATTAATGTAATACATTAAAACTTTTTTAACCTCAAAATTCATATTTTTCTTCTGATATTACAAGAACTTAAGACATATTCATGGGTCCCTGAAATTACCACAGACCCTGGGAGCAGTGCCTGCTGTGCCTAATGGGTAAGTTGGCTCTGCTTCTTGAGGGACCACGACCTTCACGTGAAAGGAGGCCTGGCGTACACTCACTGGGGTTTTCACCTACAGCTGCCAAACCGAGGGCTGCAGACAGTACCTGGGCTTGCACGCTGTTTGTGCCACAATCATCGAAAATCTAGTAGAAACTTCCTATTGCCAGCATCCCTTCCCTACCTAGCCTCCAATATGCACCATGGCACCTCAGAGTTTTCTGGTGTGCATTATGCTAAGTATAACCAGTTTCTCTGACATATAAAACATTATATATTATTGGTAGACTTTTGTTTTAACTTTTAAAATACTCAGTCTTTTTAAAATCACTGAATTAGGACTGTTAGCATTCCTATTGTCATTGCCTTATAATGAAAATGACAAAATCAGAAAGTGCCTCAAATTTGTTGAGCCTTAGCAGGAACCACCATCACTACTACCAACACACACACATCACACACACACATACCACACACATCACACAGAAATCTAAAACAAATGGCCATTTTAACAGGGAGACAATGTATTCTCCATACTTGTCCTGACTCCAGATTTCTAAATTTGAAATTGTAATTTTTGGGTCTGGGAGAAAAAAAAAAGTAGCTGAGTGAGGCTGCCCTGTCTGACTCACATCCTCGTGGTTCTTCTTCATGTAGGCCAGCTCCTCGTTCAGGCTCTCGATCTGCATCTCCAGGTCGGTCCTGGTCAGGGTCAGCTCGTCCAGCACCCGGCGCAGGCCATTGATGTCGGCCTCTACGCCCTGGCGCAGGGCCAGTTCATTCTCATACCTGAAAACCAAGTGCAAAGCAGTTGAGGGAATCAACACAACCATTTGAACAAGGCCACTGATCTTCAGGGCTATTTCTTGCTTAAATCTGTGCACCTACTTAATAATGGCAGCATTGTAGTGTATGATGCAGTTTTTGCTGTTGTGTTTTTCCTTTCCTTTTTTCCCACCATTGTTTACTGTTCAGTTGGGGAGGAGAAGAAAAGTGAATAAATTATAAGGCAATACTTTCCTACCAGCGATGAATCCCAATACCACAGCATCCCAGGGAATAATTTTCCCTTTGGCTGGCTGCCGTGGCTGTAAATAGCAGCAGCCCCTCTCTAAGTGGAATTTCTAAAAGCCGTTGAAAATAAGTTACTCTTTTTGCTTAACGTTCTTCATGATTTAACTTAAAACACTGATACTTCTTTAGTGGCTTTGACTAAGATTTTACAGGTTCAGAACCATGGCCATTGCAACTTCCTGTGTAGAAATTTTGTGAAGCAAAAAGGAAATTAGTATTTCTTACCTATATCTGGGAGAGTTGAGCATGGAAAAGGAGGAAGGAATATAAAAATTAGTACATGGTTAATCTTTCCATTGTATGTGTCATCAGGAAAACAATGGTTGATACATTGAAAATTGAGGTTTAGAGGCGGGTGGATCATGAGGTCAGGAGTTTGAGACCAGCCTGGCCAAGATAGTGAAACCCCGTCTCTACTAAAAATACAATAATTAGCTGGGCACGGTGGCAGCCGCCTGTAATCCCAGCTACTCGGGAGGCTGAGGCAGGAGAATCACTTGAACCTGGGAGGCAGGGGTTGCAGTGAGCCGAGATCGCGTCACTGCACTCCAGCCTGGGTGACAGAGCGAGACTCCATCTCAAAAACAAAAAACAAAAAACAAAAAAAGAAAATTGAGGTTTAGGACACTGGTAGGATTATGGTGTCAGTCACATCATGAGTTGAGTCAATAGCACACTACAAATATCGTGATCCATAGCCCTGGGTTTAAGTAACTTATAATTTAAGGACATTTAATCTGAATTGCATTAGATTCTAATTACTTTCTAGAACACCCTATGTGAATTTACCAAAACAGTAAATATATGGAGTATGTGAACTTCAGAAGATTTTATATCAATGAAGGCAGGACAGTAGGACAGAAGACATGGTGGGACACGCCCATGATCTTCAGTTTATTCGACTCACTTCATCCTGAAGTCCTCAGCAGCTAGTCTCGCATTGTCAATCTGCAAGAGGAGCTGGGCATTTCCAATGCTGGCTGAAATGATCTGGCAAAAGAGAGGGACACACACAAGATTGAAGCCCTAAAAGACTAGTATTATACAAATATATTTTTGACACAAAGGTGAAAATGGTGATATTAAATGCTGTTTTATTTAGAGTTTAAGACAGTTTCATTTTTCTAAGACAATATCTGTATAAAATAATATTGAGAAGTAAAGAAATGCAGATTTCCTACAGAAAGATAATGGAAATACAATCATTTCTTAGTAAATGATAAAGTGGAGTGAAACAACCTGGGATGAGAAAATTGCTGCAAGTACAGCTAAATTGGAAAATATCAAAGTTGTAGGTGATTATCACTGTAAAACATTGTAATGGTAAAAAGGAAAAAAAAAATTCCCAAAGCGCCTCCAAAAGAGATCTTACCTTATTCCTGAGGTCTTCAATCAGTGGATAATATTTGCTGTAATCGCTCTGTGAAGCATCTGCAGTCCCAGTTCCTCGTGTTTCATACCATTCTCGAATTTTATTTTCTAGCTCAGTATTAGCCTCTTCTAGAGCTCGCACCTTATCCAGGTAGGAAGCTAATCTATCATTAAGATTTTGCATAGTTTCTTTTTCTGATCCAGAAAGAAGGCCTCCATCATTGCCCGAGAGAATACCTAGAGAGCCACCTCCTGGGCTGCCCCCAAATCCCATCCCCAGCCCTCCAAAGCTACCTCCACCCAGGGCTCTCCCATAACCAGCACCCAGTCCTCCTGCCATGGAACTTCCGGAGCCACCCCCAAAGCCGGAACTAGAACCAAACATGGAAGCAGCAGAAAAGCCTCCCCCACAGCTGGCTCCAAAGCCAAAGGCACTTCCCCCATAACCACTTCCAACACTGGAAGCAGACATGCCCCTGGGTCTGCCTATCACACTCTGCGAGGAGAGCCGCCGGGACAGTCCGGGGGTGCGCACTGAGAGTGACATGGTGTTGTTGGAGAGATCCATGGCCTGGGGAAGGTGGCCACAACTGGAGAGGAAGTTGTGCCAGCAAGCCAGAAAGCTAAACTTATATAGGCTGCAAGATGGGTGTCGCAGTTGAAAAGTTCACTTTCTCCACTCAAAATTGGATCCTCCCCCCAGGTTTTTGGCCAGCTCAACAAGTGAATGATTTATGTATAATGAAAATTCATTGATACAGAAATAATCGAATAATCATTTCCATTAAATATTTGTTATATGAAAAAGAAAGCTGGGTGGAGTAGAGTCTGCTTGTCATAAGGAATTTTTCTTCTCCAAATTAGTCTGTTGCCTGTATTCCCAGCACTGCCTAGCGTCTTGTTCACAGTAGGAAGATAATGAGCGATTGCTGAATGGATACGTTAAATACTTCTTCCTAAACCTTATGCTTTTTTAAGTTCTTCCCTGATCTTTTCTGTTTGTTTCCTTTGGAAAATCCAGTGTAAACCATTTGTTTCCTTTGGAAAAACCAATCCAATGTAAAATCCAGTCATGATCAAGTATACCTTTTAGTGGAATACAGCTTCAGAAGCAGCTGTGAAATGCACTGGTGAAAGGTGGAGAATAAATATATTTTCCAGATGGATACTAGAATTTGCATTTTCAAGGATTTTAAAACCTTGGCTTTAGGATGTTGCATGTTTCTTTTCCCTCTTATTCTTCAACTTGGAAAAGTACTATTTTTGAGTACAGTTGTTTATAGTAGAGTTTATTATAGTTGTTTTAGCAGTTTTACCTTGTCTGATTGCTCACTGCTCTACACTCAGCATTTACTATGTTTATTCCTTCAACAGATATTGCCTGTAATGGTTGCTCAATAAATGTGTTGACTAGTTGAATGGATTGTGTAAACACTTCAGATTTTGTTGCCATTATCAATAAGGAGAAAGTGGAAACACAGTTCAAATTAAGAAATGATTAAAACCCCAAGTTTAAGAGGCTAGTGAACCATTTCAGTTGACTGCTATGATGAAAAAGGATAAATTTTACAATATAGAATAAATTAAATGTTATATTTTAAACTTTGTTGTGAAAACTTTGCAAAGCGTGCTTCAAGGAATTATATCCAGTATCTTTAATTTTTAAGACATAAAGTTCTTATACTTTCTTGTTTGGTATATTATTTATCTTTGAAATTGATATGGCTTATATATTGAACATGAGAACTAACGTTCTTACAGGAAATGCATTAACTTGAAAGAAGCCTGCTTTCAGAGAGAGTTGTAGATACCTGGAAACCGAGTAGTACAATTCCAGGGTGGTGGAATTCCCTTAGGAATTTAAATTGTGAGCATTTTGATTGGATAAGAAGGAATAAGGATTTTTCTTTTACATGTTTTCTTTGAGATGATGGCCCAATTCTCTACATGTCTCATTGCAAAATAGTTCTATAGTTTTTTTTTAAATATAGCTCTCTATGTATTTATAGTAGGAAATTTAGAAGATGCAGAAAACATAAAGAAGATGTATGTATATATGAGTATTTTATATACATTTTTGAACATAATTGATTCAATATAAGATTTTATAATCTGCTTTTCTCTTAAGATTATATACTTATCTATCACTTGAACTTTAATAATTGGGTACAGAACATGGATTGTGGATTCTTCGAAATCCTTTGTTGGATTCAGATTTCTAAATTCAGTTTGCTCTGTATTTGATGATAGGAAATAAAATTTCTGGGTGTAAATAACAGTTTTTTTGCAAAGATGTTTATACTGAATTTTATTAATAAGGTATACACTGACTGTGTGTGCTATAGACATATATGTATTTTGACTAGAATGGATTTATTGAAATAAAATACATTAAAATCATTGTAATGATACATTTCCTACCTCGTGGGAAACAGGGCCTTCATTTCTCCATCAGGGACCTCTGTTTGCTTATAGATGGCCACTAAAACTCCTTTTCAATTTGGTATATTTGGATTCTGCGTTTTATTTTATTCTAAGGAAAAGTTTTAAAAATATCACAAGTATTCTAGATTTCTAAAATAAAATTGAATTCTTATTTGATTTAATAATACATACCTTTCATAAAAAGGAAGATTTTTATTTTTATTTATTTACCACTACTGGATTTTTTTTAAAAAATTTCAACTTTAATTTTAGATTCAGGAGGTACATGTGCAGGTTTGTTACGTGTGTATATTTCATGATGCTGAGGTTTGGGGTACGACTCATCTCATCACCCAGGTAGTAAGCATAGTACCCAATAGTTGTTTAACCTTTGCTCCCCACAGTAATTCCCAGTGTCTATTGTTGGCATTCTATATGTCCATGAGTGCCCAATGTTTAATTCCCAAAAAGGAGGCTTTCTATACATTTTAAAGTGGAGATTGAATCTATCTGGTAAAGATTAATTTCTCAGCAAAATTATTGGATACCTGTGAGATCATTGAGATGTTACTTACTTAATACAAACAATCAACCATAAAAATTAGCAAATATGTGGCTATTGTTTAAGGTTTTTCCATAAGCATATGCAATACTTTTTGTTTCTCTTACTAAAACAATAACCTGATTTTTTTGGACACTTCAATAGCAGAGATAATATGTGAAGTAAGCCTGTAACTGTTACACAACTTGAATTATGTCAAAATGATGTGGTCTTTTTGAAAATTAAATCAAGAATTTCAACCAAGCCAACATGAAAGTATTCAAGTACTAGGTCTGCTGTTACCTCCATTCTTCAATGTCTAGTCCATTTGCCCAGTGTCTTGGACAAAGTCAGCATTCAATATATGCTTATTGATTTCTCTCTTGATAAATCAAGCTGCTGGGCCATTAATGTGTGTTATGTATGAGGAAATTTTTCCAAAATCAAAAAAGAGTGTATCAATATAAAGGCAAGCTACAAAGTATAATAATTTAAGTATTCGTGGATTCACAATGTAGACACATTCAGATGTTACTCTCATTCTAATGTACACATGCATGCACACACACACACCCAGAAACATGCACTCAGATGTCTTTGCTTGGTGCCAGTGTGCAGGTGCTCCCTGCAGAGGGATCTTCTGCAGCCCCTGCTGCTCCACCTTCCCTGGGAGCCCTTTCTCCTGAGAATGCTTCTTTCGCTGGCCTTTATCTCATTGGAGTTAGTCTCAATGGTTAGCACTTGTTTTGCCTTGTAGAGTACAGACTGACTCCTGAGGAATTCCAGACCTGTAGCCTAGATTCCCCGTAGTTTACTGCTGCCTCCTGTCCACCTGCATATCCAGATATTATCTCCCTGATTACAGCCTCCCCGAAGCTGAGGTTCTTCCATTGTGAAGAGTCCTGAGCCAGAACTAGCAGTGCCCACTGGGGATTAGGGGACAGATGCCGAGGGGTCACACCTGAAGCCCATGGCAAACCTCCATAAGGAATACCTGGGATCAATTCTGGCAAATGGAAGGACTGTTTTGACTTTTTATTAAAAAAAAAAAAAAAAGCCACTTTCCCAGGGACACAAATGATGAACCCGTGGTGAAATCCAATTACAACTTCCTTTTATATTATTACATAAGGGACAAATGTGAAGGGACATATTTCTCCCCAACCTAAACTCGTCACAAAGAGCAAGCAAGTGGGATTTCTAAATAAAGGGGGTTTAAGCAAGAGATTTGCAGAAATCACACATTTGCTATAGATGTGGAAAGAATGTAGCAACCTAAGGCAGTCTCAGCTTGAGAGAAGCCATGATCCATTTGTTTAATTTCTTGAGAGAATGAAAATCTGGTCAGTGGAAATGCCAGTGATTTTAGCCCCATATGGAGGTTTTTACCAAGGATTCCTTAAATCTATATTATAAGCATTTTGACTGAGCTGGTCTTGTTTGAATTATCAGTTATTATGTACTTACTACTTTTTGGACACTGGGCCAGCTGAATTACAGACATTATTTTTTAACCTTCACGGCAAGCTCTTAAAGTGGTACTGGTTTTATTTGTTTGTTTGTTTGAAACAAGGTCTTGCTTGGTTGCCCTCACTCCGGCTGGAGTGCAGTGGTGTGATCATAGCTCTCTGAAACCTTGAACTCCTGAGCTTAAGCAATCCTCCTGCCTCAGCCTCCCAAGTAGCTAGGACTACAGGTGGGCACCACAACACTGGCTATTTTTTTTTTTTTAATTTTTTTGTAGAGATGGAGTCTTGTTATATCGCGTAAGCTGGTCTTGAACTTTAGGCCTCAAGTGATCCTTCTGCCTTGGCCTCCCAAAGCACTGGGATTACGGGCATGAGCCACCTCAAGGCGCCCAGCTTCAGGTGGTACTTTTATCCTATTTTACAGATGAGCAATCTGAGAGTCCAGATGTTAAGTGATTTATTTACGCCCATGCAGCTGGGAGGAGGCAGAGATAGGATTCGGGCCTGCAGTGCCTTCTATAGATACCACAACCTTGCTGCTGGCGGTGACAATAAAAAGGGCAGAGGATACTCTGACATCCCCTAGCTATGACACCTGACACTAGGCTTCTGCCCTGCACATCTAACAGGAGGTGCTCTTTTTTTTTTCTTTTCTTTTAAGCTTTCTCCTTGAATTTCTCAGTGTATGGGCTGAGACCTAGAGAATGACTTTTCATGGCTTATAAGCAACAACATGACACATGAAATTCTGTAAACACACAGGCAAATGCGGTTTTCATTTTAGCTTTGACCTGTAACTACATCTCCAGAGATCTTATAAAGCACAAGTTAAACTTGCACTCCCCACACAAGAACTTGATGTTATGGTTGTTAACTATTATTCACTCCCAAGTGTCCCCCAAGACAGAGAGATTCCATTTTACTGCCATAGAAATGAAAACAGAAGCAAATAAAATGTCAAAAGAAATGTGCCAAGTTCAAAATTGTACCTCAGTGATTTGATCACATAATACGGGAATATGATTAAGTTGAATTTTTGAACTTGGAATTGATTTTGTGCTGAAAGGTACACTTTCCAACTCTAATGCCTATGGTAAAATTTAAATAATATTGCTCAATCTCTAAAAATTATGTTTATATATTATTTGTTTATGTTTCTATACATATAACATATTATCCTAGACTAAGCTTGTTAGGTAGGTACTACATCTAATTTATTTTTTATCCTGAGTCCTAGCCTAGTGTTTCGCTGAACTTTATCACTGCACTCCTTGAATGATTTCATTTGAAAGAAGTTAAGTCTTAATGTGTTTGAATGTGTCATTTGAAATTCATTTCATTTGAAAATGACTGTGCCCTAATTTACTGGTATGCTTTGACCAATATTTATTCTGAATTCAGTTATGAATGGGGAGCAACTTCAGAAGTTGAAAAGGGAAATATTTCTTCTTCAGTGGCTTTTTTTTTTTTAAGTGGGAGGCTAAGTTAAATAATCAAGACTCTGCTTTAGAGGTTTTAGAAGTGAAAATAATTTTCTTTGACAGCCACATTAATGTATAAGGCAGTGGTGATGTAAAAAACAATAAACAATCTTGGGCTTGTTGGCAGAGTGATTGCATAAGTTGAGGCAGAGAGGAAAATGATTATAGCCAGGGCAAACTGTTCAAAAGAATTATATCTTCCATTTTTGTAGAGTTTAGGAAATGTTCAAAATAGAGAAAATTAGTTATGTGGTTTTTACAAGTCTTTAGATTTTTATTGAGTAAATCATACCCTCATCTTTTCATGTCAGGTTGGTTTCTGTCCTGGTCTTTGCAGGGTTTTCTACCTGAGTTTTTTCCCGTAAGACAGACCTGTCATTTTCTGCAACTCGCTGATCCCTTGATCTGTAACATCTTTCACTTTGGATAACATTATAAAATCCTGTGAGTGACTGAGAGAATTTTGGGTTGCCTACATTTTATGTATTGTGCTTTTGAGATGAGGGTTAAACAAGGACCCTAAGGGGTATGAGTGAGATTGACTTCTGGGCTCCAGAGATCAATGGTTCTTGAAAGCAGGGGAGAATTTTGAAAGTGGTAGGAGACAGGAAGATGATAAAATAATACCCTGATGAGAGGAATCTTGGAAATGAGCCTAGGGGAGAGAAAACAGAGATGTTTGAAAGAGAATTCAAAAATAAAAATCACTACTAATGCTTTAAGTTGGAATTGTTACTTGGGGGTCTAATCAGGTACCTGAGGCTGATCCTGATGCATGTGGATGAGAACAGAGTGTCTGAGGAGGTCACTGGCCATGTTTTGATTTTGTATCACTCCATGTCATTCTCCTTTTTAGATGATTCAGAACTCTGGGTAGAAATAATCTCCAGAGCTCAGAAAAAATAGTTATTTCCATCCTAACCTCACCTCTAGGGGCTCTCTCTGAGTTTGATAGCTTCACTTCTGCACTGACAATTTCATATAAAATGAAAAAATACATTGATGATAATTCTAATGTGTGATAAAGACTTCTCTCTGGATCTGTTTACCTGTCAGAAATAGGATTATGTCATTCTAGTTCTTAGCTCATATCAGAAATATAGATAGATACAAAGATTAATGCTTCACTTTCACACAGTAACTGCTGGCAGAACTGGAGGTAGAACTCCACCATCTGGTCCACATGTATGTAGCTCTCACTCACTTCTTTGAAAGATTGCTTGGAAGAAACTAGAGACAGACCAAAGAAGCAAGAGGAAGAAAAAATCTTCATTTTTCTGATCTAAAAATAACAATTCTACTTCTTTTAACAGGTAGTTAAAAGAGGACCATCCTAAATTAAGAATAACAATCCTACCTCTTTTAACACAGTGTCATCATTGCCATATAACAGTGGTCAGGCCTAATCAGTTACAAACCCATCTGCATAGGTTTCTTATTAATCAGATTCACAGTCTGGTATTTGCATGTCAAAGTTTCAGACTATTCTGGAATGTGTCTCAGTAGGTGAAAAAGAATTCACTTTTAAATATTCTTAACATCTTTAAATGCAACTTACTAGCTAGCGTGACTTGGAAGAAAATTAAGAAAAAAATGAGTGAAATCTTTTCACTTTGGAAAAGAAGGCAATGAGAATAGGTGAGAATACCTTTTCTGACAAAAGTTGTACTGAATCAAGTCATGTGTGATGTTAGCCAGCAAAGCTGGACATTTGCCACAATTGGCTGTTGTGTCTGGCTGATGAAAATGACAATTAGAAAACAACAAAATAACTGCGGATAGGCAAGTGCCTATTTCAACTGTGAATCATGTATTGCTTTGTTATGTAATTAGTTGCTTATGAGGGTGTCCTGGTTTTAGAGAAACAGCGCTGAGGTTCAGTCTCGCTCTACTACTTGGTAACTGCTTGACTTTGGGAAAGTCTTTATCTCATGTCTTCATATGAGTCCTCATTTATCCTCATATGTAAAGTGGGGGTAACATAATAAGGTTGAACCTTATTATATATGCTATATAATAGCATATAAAATTGCTATTTCTGAAAGTCAGAAATTATCATATATTGGAAAGCTTTAAAAAAATCTTTATTCTTTCAATTTAAAATAATGAATCAAGTGCCTGCTATGTGTTAGATATTATATTACATCTTAGGAATTCAAAGTGGTACCATTCACATCCTCAAAAATTCCCAACTCTTAGAAATTATCATATATTGGCAAGTTCATATGATTCAACCTAATAGCTTCTACCTCACAGGATTATTGTGAGAATTAAATGAGAAATGCATGAAATGTTTGGCACACAGGCTCATAGTAAGTGCTCAATAAATGGTGGATATTATTATTCTTAAATGAATCATGTAATTATTTTCTATATAATAATCAAACTCAATCCCACTTATTTGCAACTTCTGTATCAAGTTTTAAGTCCAATCTATTTACTGGAATACAATGATTTAGCACACATTGATTTTTCCCATAAACATTCATATGCAATGATTGCTCACTAAAATGCAAAAAGGGTGAGGATACAATATGTGTTTTTATTGTTTTTGGATTTGGCTTCTTTCACTTAGCATGTTTTCGAAGTTCATCTCTGTTATAGCATGTATCAGTACTTCATTCCTTTTTATTGACGAATAAGATTCTATTGTGTGGATATATTACATTTTGTTTATCCATTCATCGGTTGATGGACACTTGAGGTGTTTCGCTTTGGGGCTTTTATGAGTAATGCTGCTATGAACATTTGTGTATAAAAGGACACATCGTATTAACCTATTTATATGAAATGTCCAGAGTAGGCAAATCCGTAGAGACAGGAAGTAGATTAGTGGTTGTTAGGGGCTGGGAGGAAGGGAAAAGGCGGTGACTACTAATAGGTACAAGATTTCCTTTTGGGGTGATGAAGTGTTCTAAAACTAGATAGTGGTGATGGTTGCAAAACATTGTAAGCATACTGAAGACCACTGAATTGTACGTTTTGTAAGGGTGAATTTCATGGTGTGTGAATTATATCTCAATAAATCTGTTATTAAAAAAATGAGAGACATTTCATTAAAAATATATGTTCACCATATAAAGAAAGAGAGGACCTGATAGTATATGCAGCTTATTATCAAAAGGAGACACATTTTGCCTTGAGAAGGGTTTCAGTAATGTTGTTTTTAATCTATTTCCATTTTAAGTATAGTGTACTTCACTCTTATTCTGCTCAGCATTTGTGATTGAATTTGACTCTCAAATTATTCAAAAAGCTGTGTTGAGTTTTAAAAGGCAGTGGAAGCAATGGGAAAAAGCAGATATAGCTCAAAGGTTGTAGAGTTGTACTGATGCTGAAAAATCAATAAGATTAACCCAGAAATTGGCTCAATAAGAAACCAGGGACTCCCAAAGGGGGTTTTACAATTCAGAAACAGGAAAAAATTAGAAAGTGGTTTATTTGCAATTTACATGGATTCCTCTACTTTGTGAGGTTTAGTATAATTGAAATGTATTGCAATTTTCAGGAACATTACCTACAAATTGATATTAGGTGGTCTACAGCTTGTAATTGATGTGCTTCATGATAAAGATGGCAGTAATGATGTTTTAAATATTCTAGTGCTCACTGGATTTCATTTTTGCAGGCAATTTGCAGCTCCTCTGAGTAAAACATTTATATTCAATTACAGAGTCTGATAAATAGGATTCCCGCCACCCCACCCCTTCTAATCACTGCAGAGTATTAATAGTGCTTTCTTATGGCTGATTTCTTGCAGGGAGCAAAGATAAGATTATAGCCAAATTTCTTTCAAAACCTCAGCAGCATCTCCTTCTGGTAGCTATTTAGATATTTTCTTCCACCTCTTTGACTTCAGATGACACGACCTTGCCATCCACTACTTCTTGCACGACTGTCTTAATCTTCCTGGTTTTCTTTATATCTGAATTCATATTAAACATTAAATGTTAATTCAGGCACATGACTCTGCTGATTTATAATATTCAACTTTAAATTATTATTCTTTTTACTTATTTCCTTCTTTTAGAAAAATATGTTAAACCCATCCTCTTTCTCAAAAAATCTTAAGTCCATTTTATAAATAGATGCAGAAAATGTGCTTCTCCCCAAATTTACAAATGTCCTACTCTTAAAAATTCAAGAAATAAATTATCTTGAATTTAAGTGGAATTCAAATTTTGTCTTGTTTTTCCTTTTCAGGATGTCAGGATGTTTCAAGATAGCAATAGCACAGGCCAAGAAAATCACCCCATTCTGAGGAGTGTGCCCAAGTTCCCATGTGGAGGGTTTCTTTATGCCATGTACAAGATTTTTAGAATCCCTGGTGTCATATCTGCTCCCTTGAGAATTGGCCTTTGCTATGGTTTGAATGTGTTCCCTGGAGTTCATGTGTGGAAAACTTAATCCCCAATGTAACAGTGTTGGGAGGTGCGGCCTAGTAAAAGGTGATTAGATGATGAGGGCTCTTCTCTCATGGATGGATTAATGTGGTTACCATGATAATGGGTTAGTTATTGTGAGAGTGGGCTAGTTCTAAAAGAAAGATTAGCCTCCTCTTGCTCTCTGGTTCTCATGGACACTCTTTTGCACTTCTACTTTCTGCCATGGGATGACACAGCAAGAAGGCCCTTACAAGATGCCGGCACCTTGATATTGGACTTTCTGGCCTCCAGAACTGTGAGCCAAGTAAACGTCTATTGTTTGTAAATTATCCAGTCTCAGGTATTCTGTCACAGCAGCAGAAAACAGACTAAAACAGCCTCACTTTACTTTTTATCAGTGGCATGTAGTTAATAGAAAGCAGCTGAATGTCATAGAAAATGTGCAAAAATTTAGAACTTACCTCTCTCTTCCAGGGTGCTTAACTGATATTCTGTAGTTCTGTTTTTTTTTTTAATGAAAAGAAGAAAAAAGAAACAGAAAAAAGCATTATTGCTGTTTTGAAAATGGAATGCACTCCTGTCTTTTATATTTCAAAGTCCAAGTGAATGTGTTATTGCTTTCATATATCTTTCCCTTTTACATTGCTTTTATTGCAAACTTGAGCATTTTACTTTTTAACTTGAAAAATACATAGATTTAAAACTGACCAGTTTAATATATGCTAAGAAGTTCCTCTAATTAAAATAACAAAATTACAATGGAAGTTTAAATCTTGTGTTCTCTTGTTGATATTCTTAGGTATGGTATCTGAAGACAGTTGCTGCTGCCACACTTATGATTCTCAGACTGGCTCCCGTGGACCTCAGCAGCTTATTGTCTAATTCATGAGCTCTCAATTAGAATTTCCAAAAGGTTATTATGCCTTCAATTATATATTAATGATGAAAATTAATATCAGCATAATCTATATCATTTGGAGAATTATCTCCAAATGATCATGTGGTAGAACTCAGTCCTACCACATGATCTCAAGGCTGTACTTGATATTTTGGGCGTGTGTGTATTTTTTGGTATATTTTCGTTTTGTTGTTCGTGGTGAGGCATGTGTGAGTATAATTGCTTCTGTCCTAGGGATTGCATTGGTGCTGGGTAATGAGTGACAGGGACATTAAAATAGAAGTGCATACAGATATTGACACCTATTCCTTGATTCTAAGAGCCTTACTTTACGTCTTCTCCTTCCAGAAGGCGGCGGTAAGTAGCAATTTCCTGTTCAAGTCGAGTCTTTATGTCAAGAAGGATATGGTATTCGTTGTTCTGGCGTTCCATGTTACTCCGAATCTGCATCAGTTGGGCCTCCAGAGAGCTCAACAGCGACTGGAGGTTGGCTAACTGGCTGCTGTAACGGGCCTTGGTCTCCTCTAGAGTGTGCTCCAAAGACTCTTTCTATGAGCACAAGAAAAATAGGGCACTTCTTATGTGAGGACTTGATTCAAGAGATGGGTTAATTTTAATTTCCTTTGAGAAGGGTCTCTGCAGTTCATCACTGTGGGCATGGTGTATATTTCTAGCTCCATCTCCCA
Source organism: Homo sapiens (assembly GCF_000001405.40). NCBI lineage: Eukaryota > Metazoa > Chordata > Mammalia > Primates > Hominidae > Homo > Homo sapiens. Next base: position 27,771 of record NW_003871091.1, read on the forward strand.
CTCTTCCCAACTAGGCAACCTCAGCCAGCCAGCTAGGATCATTAGCTCTTGGGGTTTTTCTTTGCTTGTAGCTTTGCACCTACTGTTCTTTCAGTGCGGCGCATTGTAGCATTGTTCTCAGTACTTGCTTCCCCACTGTGTGAAGATGTTATACCTCTCACTCCTTCATCAGACCTGGCCATGTGATCTGTGGCATTTCTCAATTGCAGGATTAGATTCCTTTAATCCATTGACACCTGGCTGGGTCATGTGACTCTCTTTGGTTAATAAAATGCAGGTCAAACTGACAAATGCCTTTTCTTTTTCTTTTTTTTTTTGGGACGGAGTCTTGCTCTGTCGCCCAGGCTGGAGTGCAGTAATGTGATCGCAGCTCACTGCAACCTCTGCCTCCTGGGTTCAAGCGATTCTCCTGCCTCAACCTCCCAAGTAGCTGGGATTACAGGCACACACCACCATGCCCAGCTTATTTTTGTATCTTTAGTAGAGATGGGGTTTCACCATATTGGCCAGCTGGTCTCAACCTCCTGACCTCAAATGATCCTCCTGCCTTGGCCTCCCAAAGGACAAATGCCTTTTCTAAGGAGAAGCTTTAAGAGCTATCAAGTGGACCAACCATTGCTCTTTTCTTTCTGCCAGGACACTGGCATGTCCTAGGTAGGGCCTACCCCTTTAGCCTTGCCCTTGGAAAGGAAATGTCACGGTGGATGTAGTATCATGGCTGCAGGCCACTGTGGTTTGAGGGATTCTGCTTACCACAACATAATTTGTCATGGGCTTGCTGATTTGCTTGGCCTGGAATGTCTCTAGTCCATTCTCCATCTTAAAATTTTATCTTAGATTTTGAGATCTGGTATAATGGACACATACAGGGGAATAGCAGACATGGGGGCCTAACAGAGGGTGGAGGGTAGGAGGAGGGAGAGGATCAGGAAAAATAACCAATGGGTATTAGGTTTAATACCTGAGTGATGAAATAACCTGTACAACAAATCCCCATGACACAAGTTTAACTACATCATAAATCTGCACATGTACTCCTGAACTTAAAAGTTACAAGAAGATCTGGTTTAAATGCCACTTTCCCTGTGAAATCTTCCAGATTTACTCTTTCCTCTGCATTCATGCAGTACATTGCCCTTTCCTCGATTTCTCTCTGTCCTTTAATTATAATCAGTTGTTCGGCCTGTTTCCCTGCCAGTTCTGCAAGGGGAAGGGTTATTTCTTGTAGGTCTTTGCATTTCTATAGTTCCTAACAGAGGACCTTGGTAAACACATACTAGATTGAGAAAGAGAAGTTAGATATGCTTTACCATGCTGAGATGGGACTGGAGTTCTATCTCAAGGCTCTGGGAGGTGCGTCTCAGCTCCGTTAGTTGAACCTCAGTTCCTTTTAATTCTTCAGTATTCACTGTGACCTGTTGCTGCAGAACTGCAGTCTACAGTGCCAAGAGTGAAAAAAAAATAGTTGAGGGGTGGAAATAAGAAAGAAAAGACAGAAAGAGAAAGGAAGAATGAACAAATGAAAAAGAAAATGAGTTATCTGTTTCTGGAGGAAAGCATCTACACGTTTGCTCACCCTTTAGAATTGTGTGGTTACCTGTCTCTCAAACTGTTCTTTGGCCTCTTGAAGGTTCTTCTGGGCCATGACTTCATACTTCTGCCTCATTTCATTCATGATGACGCCAAGGTTCAGGCCTGGAGCAGCATCAACCTCCACATTGACAGTGTTGCCCAGATGCTTGTGTAGGCCATCGACTTCCTATGAAAGTGAAATTTCTGATTGATTTTAGTCTGAAGCACATTCTCAGATAAGGCTGGGCAGAAAAGACATAAGGAGTCTCATGACCTCTTTCATTGGGAATAAGTAAAAAAGATATAAAATAATAACTTGTGTTGGGCTTATTGTGGTCCAGGTGCTGCTCTAAGTCATTTAACTTACAACAACATTATGAAAAGAAGGTAGGGCTTGTATCATTATTGTCATCGTCATCATCTCTGTCACTATCACCACCAACTCTTCCCCCTTCTCCTGTTTCTCCCGCTCCTCCTATTATTAGTATTATATAGAACCATTCCATTGTTTCCAATACCACTTCTGAATATTTTCTCACCTCCTGATGCTCCTTTTTGAGGAGAGCTAGGTCTTTATTCAGTTCTTCAATTTGAATCTCCAAATCTGTTTTATGTAGGGTTAGGTCATCAAAGACCTTATTCAGGCCTTGGAGATCAGCTTCCACTGTTAGACGTATTCCTCTCTCAGTCTCATACCTGTGAATTAATTAGTGTACAGAGATAACTGGTCCTTCTGAAGCCATTATAAGGAGAGAATCTAATATAATGGGATAGGTTTTTAAATGTGGCTTATGAGGAGATCAATTTCAATACTTTATAATGTCTGCCTTTACACAATCATGAAATTTACATAAGAACCTAGGAGTCAGAAAATGTGCTCAATAATATAATCTCTATAATTTGGGGTGACTGGTAAAAAGGCAATCTGAAATAATTTTGAACACTTCTAAATTCTAGAATTTATCTTATAAGAAATTAAATTGTGTTAATTATTGTGTTGGCAAAGGGTTCTTATTATTGATATTAAATAATGGTTAGTTTTACTTAATGAATGTACATGATCGATTTATTTTTATTACTTTGTGAACAGAGACATCCAAAGTGAATTATCTCAAACAGCTCTACATCCTCCTCTACAATCTTACATACACACTGTGTGTGTGTGTGTGTGTGTGTGTGTGTGTGTGTATTTGAGACAGGGTCCCACTCTGTCACTCAGGCTGGAGTACAATGGTGTGATCATGGCTCACTGCAGCCTCAACCTTTGGGGCTCAAGCAATCCTCTCACCTCAGCCTCCCAAGTAGCTGGGACAGCAGATGTATGCCACCATGCCCAGCTAATTTTTTTTGTATTTTTGTATAGAGATGTGGTTTTGCCACGTTGCCCAAGCTGTTCTCAAACTCCAGGACTCAAGTGAGCCTCCTGCCTCAGCCTCTCAAAGTGCTGGGATTACAGGCGTTAGCCATCATGCATGCCCTGCCCAGTTTCCTAAAATATCCAACTTTAAAAAATGACACTGCAATGTGACACTCAGTGCTAGGTAAAATTGGAAGTAATGCACCTTTACTGCTTTCATCTTTGGATTTGATTTCCTATTTCCTTCTTGTTAATCCCTTGGAGCATTAAAAGGCTACCCTTCTAACCACAAAGGGCTTTTTGGTGTTAATGCATTGTACAAATTCAGGATGAAGAGGCCTTAGTGTGGAAGCTGTTTGCAAGGAACAGGTCTGGTCACATGTGGTGTGATGACTACAAAGAAAGTGAACACAATTTTTACTTTCTTTTTCTTTTCTTTCTTTCTTCCTTTTTTTTTTTGAGACAAGGTCTCAGTCTGTTGCCCAGGTTGCAGTGCAATGGCACGATCTCAGCTCACTGAAACCTCCGCCTCCCAGGTTCAAGCGATTCTCCTGCCTCAGCCTCCGGAGTAGCTGGGATTACAGACATACGGCATCACGCCCAGCTAATTATTATAGATTGGTCCTGGTTCTTTGGTTGGCCAGACCATCCTGTAAAACACTGGCAAGCCAGAAATCATCAAGAGTCACCCCTGGAACTTGGGTCATACACTTGCAGGCACTTGAATGAACGTGGAGAATTACTTGGAGAATCACCAAGGGTAGACACAAGACTCTCTTTAGATAACAGAAAGGCACTTAGGGAGAAGGAGAATTGTAAATTACTTTGTTATTACTCCAAAGGGCAGAATTAGGTTTAGATACCAGGTTACTAAAAAAAAATTTAGCAACCAGTAATAACCAAGGAGAATAGTAGTTACTGGAGGTGTTTAGTTACATGCCGGGGGATCAAGAAAGAGAAGGCCATCCCTGAGTGCTGGGTTAGCTTCATACATGTAGCTTCTAACCTCCTTTAGGCTTCAGGATTCTGGACATTGAACCGTGCTTCCTTTATCAACAATGATATGGAAAGCTGAGTATCTGGAAGGACTACTAAAGGAATTCTTTTTCAGAAACTTTTGCCACGTATTAGGGAACCTACTTCAGTCTGAAGTCCTCAGCAGCCAGTTTAGCATTATCAATTTGCAGGACACACCGAGCATTTTGCAGTTGAGCATCCTTAATCTGGAAAATACATGAGAAAGAATGACATTTTCTTTTTTATTTATTTATTTATTTATTTATTTATTTATTTATTGAGACAGAATCTTGCTCTGTTGCCCAGACTGGAGTGCAATGGTACGATCTCGGCTCACTGTAACCTCTGCCTCCCAGGTTCAAGCAATTATCCTGCCTCAGCCTCCCGAGTAGCTGGGGTTACAGGCATCCGCCACCATGCCCGGCTAATTTTTGCATTTTTAGTAGAGACAGCATTTTGCCATGTTGGCCAGGCTGGTCTTGAAGTTCTGACCTCAGGTGATCTGCCTGCCTCGGCCTCCCAAAGTGCTGGGATTACAGGCGTGAGCCACCGTGCCCGGCCAAGAATGACATTTTCAACTGGATAGGAGTTTACAAGGATTTAGTTTATCCCCAGCTACAGTGACTATTATGTCAAAAATGATGTTCATTTCAAGTATTTCTACATGAAAATATATAGAAAAAATAATGACATAGTTATTTAACATAACAGAGTCATAAAATGCAACTCTAGATGCCCCAGGGTTTGGTCTACTTTCTTGTGATTTTACAGAAGGATAATTTAACTCAACTTGAGTCATCACACCTTATTGAGTGCCTTGCCTTTGATGTTTCTACTTAGGACATTTCTTTTAGCCCCTGTGGTCTGGTGAACTCCCATTCCTCCCTCATGTCTCAGGTTCGACAACATTGCTTCATAGGAGCCTTCACAGATGCTCTCAAAACTGAACTGGATGATCTGCCTGTGCTCTCATTATCCCTCTGTGTGCTGGTCCCTCTGTCCATCCCTGTATCCTCATAAATCATATTGTGTCCACCATAATATTCCTCAGTCCCCAGCATGGTGCCCAGCACCTAGTTAGTGTTCATTCAGTATTGGCTGAATGAAAGAACATGATGCATGAAAGAACGAAATGCATGATGGAGGCATATAGATGAAAAATCTACTTGCAGAAGATGTTACAATGACATTTCTCTTTCAATGGACCCAGTTTTGGAGAGGGCTGCTTCCTATGGTTGGGACTGTCCAGCTCAATGGGACGGATGGCCTGTGCCTGTGTATTTCAGATGAACCAAACTAGAGTCAGAAACACGAGACAGGTGTGGTTCGAACATTTTTAGTGAGAGCTTGCGAAGGATGAACTTTATTCCGGAAGGGCTATTTAAATGCCATTGCTTCACATGCCCATAGTTTCTAAAATTCCAAAGTAACTTCCCATGGAGTCCGAATCAAATTGCCCTGATGTTTAGTACAACTCAAGAAAAACAGACTTGCTGGTAAGTAAATGCGCTTTGCTCTAAAGGAGTATGAATCTTAACACAAATTACAGTGAACACTTTTCTTAATTAGATAAGAACTTTAATTTGAAGCAAGTGCTCTGTGTCATATCTGAAATTTTCAATTAGGAGCAAAGTCTTCTGCTTTTATTCCATGAAACTGATAAAATACAGAGCTCCACCCTTTTTTTGATGACATAGGAGGAGGTTGTGATATGATTGTAATAAACATGAATTGGGGGCAATAGAACATTTTATTACTGTAGAAGTAGTTTCTGAACTGCTTGATGCTGATGGTCATGTTATTAAACAGGGCACTTAAAAATCCAGGCATCATTAAGACCCATATTCCTGCCACACTGTTTCCACCCAGAATCACTTTGCTATTTAAATCTGCAGTACAGTATTCTAATAGTCATATTATAACATTTACTTAAATAAAAGGAGAAAAGTCTTTGAATTTACTGGGGTTTCAAAACTTGATAAGGACTAGGTGAAAAACTAAGAGAGATTTATCACGTAATTAATTTTTAGCTCTTTTCAGAAAGATTGTTCACTATACATTTAGCCCTGATGTGATAAGCTGTGACAAAGATTCATTTTATTCCGGAGGATAAAATGTTCATATTTTGTATGTAATTGTGTTAAACATTAAAAATAGCATGATTTAAGGTCATCCTGTTGTACAGTCAGGTACTCCAGCACTAAAGGTAGATGAAAGAATTTTTATAGATGTAACATTTTAGCCTAATTTGCTTTACAAAGTCCATTTGGACCTACCTAACATAGATAACCTCTTGATTTATCTTGAAGCTAAACACAGAGTAGGAAACACAAGCATCATCTCTCACCTGACTTCGCAGCTCTTCAATTTGTCTGTAATATGCACTGTAGTCGCGACCAGCCCTCGGGGCGTTGGTTTCGTACCACTGCTTGATTTGCACTTCAAGTTTGGAGTTGGACTGCTCCAGGGTCCGCACCTTTTCTAGGTAGCTCGCTAGACGGTCATTTAGGTTCTGCATGGCCATTTTCTCATTGCCAACAAACAGGTCCCCGCCGCCTGTGAGATCGCTCCCATAGTTCACCGTGTGTCTGGAGTTGGAGATGCGGATGCCCCGGCCTCCAGCACCCCCATAAACGCTGGGTGTCGTCCCGAGGCGCTGCATGCCCACTGTACTGACTACAGGGGCCTGCAAGGAGGAGCTCAGGCTTCTGTGGAAGCTTCTGCGACTGAAATCCATTGGAGATTCCAGGAGGGAGCACCTGTAGCTTCAGGATGGTTGGGGCAGAGTGTGTCTCATGGAGGGTGTTGAGCTAGCCTTTTATGAAGTCCACAGGCAAGAAACTCCTCCTCTGCTGACATGTCACTAGGATTGGCACCACAGTCCACCTTGCCTTACTTCCACGCCCCCCGCTTTGTATAGCAATATGTTAATATGCTTAATTCAATTCCAGAAAATACCACTAGAGGCATTTCTTGGAGGCTTTTATCAGGGGCAACTTTTTTTTTTTTTTAATTAAACAGGTAATAAAAGGAAACAGGAAAGTGTATTCTTTTAGCCCATGCGCCTGCCTTGGCAGGTTTTTTTCATCCTAACATACACACAAAGAATATTTACAATCCTCATGTATAATTTAGGTATCTAAAAAGGCAGATGTGCCTACATAACTGAAAGTCACAATGGAGATAAAGGACAATGTTTGATTTGTATTGAGGAGTTGCTCTTCAGAACCTCTGTTTCATGCTTTGCTTGTGTTTGGCTTTTAAGTTTATTGTGTTTTGGACATCTTATTTTATAAGACTATTAAAATATTTTGTACAAACACAAAACCTCGAATCCCTAAACCAGGAATGAAACCATTGTACATTTGGAGATGTAGTTTGGGGATGTGAATTAAATGAATTTAGCTGAGTGATGGATTAGATGATTTGGGAGGTTATTTTCTTTCTATTTCTAATGTTCTATGACTAAATATTGCATTTTAGGTTTCCAGTCACCACCTGGCTTCAAGTCCTGTTACCAAGACACTTAGAATAAATCACACAGTGCTTTGTACCTGGCATGGTATCAGGATGGGTCTCCTCTTTTGTATGAGGCCAGCTTAACACCCACCATGAGACAGACTCTGCCCCATCCATCCTGAAGCTACTTACAGGTGCTCCTTCTAAAGTCCCCAGTGGATTTCAGTTGCAGAAGCTTCCATGGAAGCCTGATCTTCCTTGTATGCCCCCATAATCACAGCGAGAGTGGCTGTTTATATAGGAAGGGGTGCAGGCGGGGACTTGGGACTACACTCAGCTTCCAGGGTTGGGCTGGAGGCAGCTGCTTGTGTGTGGACCTCTAGACACATGGGCATGATCTCATCGGTGGGAATCTGATTGTAAGCAACCAATAAATGCCTGAGTCACTTGCTTCCCTTCATTCAAACCCCCTGGCTGAGAATTCACACTTCCCATGAAGCATGTAAATCACTTCCTTAGTTAATTAGATAATCACTAATTAATATAATTAGATAATCAGTTAATCACTTCCAAGTTAATTAGAAGGGATTGGAAAAGTCACTAAAAACATCTAATTAATTGTCATCCTGATACTTTAATGGAATTGAGATTTGTATATAATTAAGCAAGCAAGTAAATGCAAAAAAAATTGGAATTTAATTGTCTTATTTTAGTGGCTTATTTGTTGTTGCTGTTGTTCTGAAAGCCAGTCACTTAAAAAAAATTTTTTTTGAGTTTTTAGAAACCAGTGGCTTTTTTACTTTTGAGTTTAAATTTCTTTTACACACAACTTTCTTCTAAAATAAGGTCAGATCATATTATTTCTCTCTTATAAACAGTATACTTTAAAATAATACATTGTGTTTGATTTTATCTTAGTTATATCACAGAAATAAAAATTGAGATAAAATGGAATCTATTTTATGCATTTTATGGTATATGTGTGGGCAGCTCTTATATTTTTATCCATTCATGTATTCATCAGCCAATACTGAGTACTCACCACCAATGACTGGACTGGTAGCAAGAAGACCTTGCTAACTTATTAGAGTTATAAATTACTTTGTTAATAGATGTCACAGCTAAACTCTGTAGCAGAGAAGAACTTTTTATAAACACATGAACTATGTTCTTTATACATGTATTCAAAGATGAATTGTTTTTGGTGTTGATTAATGGGGTAGGAGGTTGTTAGATTAAAGTCATTGGAAAATTATACTATTTAAATTACACAAGTTTTATAGTAAGTTGGTCTCAGCTAAGAGTTTCATATGCTAACACATGATCAAGGTGTGTAGAAGCATTATAAAATCAATAGTTAGCTTTATAATTAGAAAAGAACATGAATGCAGTTGTTAAACATGATGATTTTTGTTCTCTTTTGTAGCACAATTCTTCCTTATGGCTGGACCTATTTATATCAAAGAGTTGAAAATCCCATTTTTAGTTATTTTCCATTTTATTTTTATTTTGAGACAGGGTCTCACTGTGTGACCCAGGCTGGAGTGCAGTGACACAATCACAGCTCACTGCAGCCTTGACCTCCCAGGCTCAAGTGATCCTCCTGCTTCAGCCTCTCAAGTAGCTGGGACTACAGGCACACACGCCATGCTTACATAATTTTTATTTATTTATTTTTGGTAGAAACAGGGTCCCACTATGTTGCCCAGGCTGGACTCAAACTCCTGAGCTCAAGTGATCCTCCCACCCCACCCTCCCAAAATGATGGGATTACAGGTGTGAGCCCCTGTGTCCAGCCGTTTTTTTTTTTTTTTTTTTTTTTTTTGAGACGGAGTCTTGCTCTGTCACCAGGCTGGAGTGCAGTGGCATGATCTCAGCTCACTGCAACCTCCCCCTCCCCGGTTCACACAATTCTCCTGCCTCAGCCTCCCTAGTAGCTGGGATTACAGGTGGGCACCACCACGCCGAGCTGATTTTTGTATTTTTAGTAGAGATGGGGTTTCACCACGTTGGCCAGCCTGATCTTGATCCCTTGACCTTGTGATCTGCCTGCCTCAGCCTCCCAAAGTGCTGGCATTACAGGCGTGAGCCACTGCACCCGGCCCAGCCAATTTTTTTCTTTTTTTTGAGAAATAACTTTGTCTATATCTTATTCCAGAAATCTTTGGCTAGTTTTGGTAAGTTTTTGAGGTTTTAAATTTAAACTAAAATATGATACAATAGTGTCATCATTATGAGGTATAGTCATTCAATCTACCAATTTGTTGGAGTAGAAAAAATTCTACTGGAAAGCCTCCCACCTGTTTATATAAGGGCAGGAGAATTTGCTGGCTTCTCTATATCACTGAGTTTTGTACTTTTGTAGATTATTCGATCTTATAATGTGACCACAGGAAATCAAGTGAGTTTTTCACAGCAATTCATTTTTCTGAGTTATATCTCGAGGACTGAGTAAAGATCCTATTGACCCTTGTTCATACACAAAGTCATGAATTTAGAGACCCTGGTATTTCAGGCTGTTGGGTGACTGCAGCTGTAAATAAATACTTATTAGATCCCAACTTCCTTGTAGCTAGTAGGAGATACATTTTGACTTCTGAGACACTCTACTGAGAGTGTTAATGATTAATATTAAGTATGGCCAGTAGTTGGGAAGGCTATTATAAGCACTACAGTTTTCAGAGGGCTTTCAACTTTTTTCTTTTTTTTTGTATTCTACCATGACCAAGCTATTGCAATCACATATGATAGACATAGAACCTGCAGTCTCTGGAGTGGCATCTTGTTCAGACAGGGAGAAGGAGGGTGGAAGTATGGATGAAGGAAGTTTTGCCCTGAGTTATTTGTTGAAGCGAGGAGATGGGTACAAGGAGGTTGATGTATAGTAAACTTACATCATTGTATTCTGCACAGTTAATCAGTCATATTTAGGTTTTTGTTTGTACTTATTTGGTAATTCTCAGCTGTGTTTTGATGAGTTGGATGGATTTATTTATTGTCTCATAGTGGCTATAGAATGATTGGATGAAGAATATAAATATAAATTGTTTTAGAAAATAAAACAAACTTAAAATTGGAGCAAGTACCAAGCAGATCTGAAATACAAACCAGAGGAAATAAATAATGCCGTTAAAATTACAAGTTCAGTGGATGGATCCAGGAACAGATTAAGCCAGGATTATTGAACAAAATGTAGCTCTGAGGAAAATTTCCAGAATGCAGCTAAGTGACGAAGGAGGAAGTCAAGAAGGCATGAAGGCTATAATTAGAAGGTCTAAATATGTCTAATCAGAGTTCCAGAAGAAGACACAAGAGAATAAGAAAACATTCAACAAAATAAAAAGTGAGAATTTTATAGAATTCTTTAAAAAAAACCCAAGTTCTCAGATTAAGGAGACCTAATGAATTCCAGGCAAAAGGAATAAAAATAAATCACTACACACATTGAGGCAGAAAACCAGATAATTACAAGCAGATAGAGAATAAATCACCAACAAAGGAATGGTGGTTAGACTGATGACTGACTCCTCAAAAGCAACAATGGACACTGGAAATGGAATAGAATCTTCAATGTGCTGGGAGGAAATAACTGCCATTCCGGAATTTTCTGACTCGGTAACATTATATTTGAAGAAGGGTAAAATAAAGCCATTTTCAACATTTAAAAAACTGAATTTGCCATCAACTTCTAAGTTTTCACTAAGAGCAATCTGAAAGAATGTGTTTTAAGCAGAAGGAAGATGATTCCAGATGAAAGTTCTGAGATGCATAAAAGAATTAAAATAATGAACAAATAGAGTGCTAAGCATGCGACCAAATGTAAATGTAAAGACAAGTATTGGCTATAAAATAATATATCTATTGAGAAGAAAAAACAATATGGAATTAAAGTAGATGAGGGCTGGAAGGGGATGAATGGAGTTAAATTGTTCTAAATTGCGGGACTGTTTAGGAAAACAGCAAACATACAGATTAACTTTAGATATTGACAGGTTAAGAATGCATATTATATTTTCCACACAGGGACACATGGCGGAGAACAACACACACTGGCACCTGTGGTTGGGGGGAAAGCATCAGGAAGAATAGCTAATGGACGCTAGGCTTAATACCTGGGTGTTGGGATGATCTGTGCAGTAAACCACCGTGGCACATGTTTACCTATGTAACAAAACTGCACATCCTGCACATTTACCCCTGAACTTAAAATAAAAGTTGAAGAAAAAAAAGAATGCATATTATGTTTTCTAATTTTATGGTTTTGCCTTTCACATGATGGCTCTTACAATGATCTGGAAATAAGCCAGTGAATTAGCACAAAGAGCTCAGAAACAGATCTGTTGCCTATAGAAACTAATTTTGTACGGCTTGGGCATTTCAAATCAATGAGGAAAGAAATGGAGTATCCCATATTTAACAAATGGCAGTTGTATTTCTGTCTAAGGCAAAATTTACCTAAAATATAAGAAAATGAATTCCAGATTCATTAAAGATAAAAATGTGAAAAGTTAAAAACTATACAACATTTAGAAGAAAACACAGAATAATATCTCTAGGAATTAGAGTAAAGGAGTATTTTTAAACAAGACACAAAAAGTGAAAACTGTGAAGTACAAAATTGATACTGATTTAGCAATTTTTATTCATTAAAATATACCATAATTATAATGAAAAAAGCCTCAAACAGGGAGCAGATATTTAGAAGTCATGTAACTGACAAGCAATTAGTTTCCAGAATATGGAAAATTCCTACAAATCAATAAGAAAAAGAAAAGCATCCCAGTGAGAAAGTGGGCAAAATATGAATAGATTTGCAGAGAAGAGGAAAGCTGAATGGCCCATTCCACATCTGCCAATCGGAAAAATTTAAAAAGTTGGACGATAGCAAGGTGGCCGAGGGGAATTCCAGTCCATTCATGTTAGCTGTATAAGTAGGTACAATCACTTTGTAAAATAGTTTGAGATTATCTTAGAAGGCTGAACATTCATATAGCCATCACTCAGCAAACAATTCCTAGGTGTACACTTCAGAGAAACTCTTGTAAATATTGAACGATAGACATGTACAAGAATATTCACAGAAGCATTGTTCATATTAACAACACACACACGTACTAACATACACACACACAACAGAAAACTGGAAACAACTCAAATGTTAAGAGTAGAATGAATAAATGCGTTGATACATGTTCGTACAGTGGGATGCTATGCAACAGCTAAAAATGGATAAATTAGCTGGGCGCTGTGGCTCATGCCTGTAATCCCAGCACTTTGGGAGCCTGAGTTGGGTAGATCACTTGAGGCGAGGAGTTCGAGACCAGCCTGGCCAATATGGTGAAACCCCGTCTCTACTAAAAATACAAAAATTAGCTGGGTATAGTGGTGGGCGCCTGTGATCCCAGCTATTCGGGAAGCTGAGGCAGGAGAATCGCTTGAACCCAGGAGGTGGAGGTTGCAGTGAGCCGAGATCATGCTACTGCACTCCAGCCTGGGCAAAAGAGCCAGGCTCTGCCTAAAAAAAAAAATAAAAAAAAATAAAAAATAAAAATAAAAAAAAGATAAATTACATTATTGACATGGATAAATATTAAAAAACATAATGCTGAAAAAAGACAACAGAATCCATCCAGATTTTATTGATATATAGTATAAAAACAGGCAAAACGAAATAATGTATGCTTAAGAGATATACATATAGATAATGTAGATTGCAAATGATGGTCACAGATTCCTCCTGTCTCTGATGCACACTCCTTTGCAAGTCCTTTCAGAGTCTGAGGGGCATCTAGACCATTTCCAATTTTTGAAGCTCCTGGTATATTAAACAATTGAAAAAAATTTAAAGTGTTTATATTTCCTTTACATTACCATTTGCAACACAAAATCTCATAATACAATAAACCTGTACCAATCACAAGATTTATTTAAAAAATACTAACTTATTTTAGTGTACTATAGGCTACGTGGTCCAGTGTGGGGGCATAGTTTCAACGGATGAGATGGATATCTTAATCGTGATCCTCCTGCGTCGGCTTCCCAAAATGTTGTGAGTACAAGTGTGAGCCACTGTGCCTAGCCAAGATGGATATAATCTTTTCATCCCAGAGGTGACGTTTGAAACCAGATAGGGCTGCATTTGGATTTAACATCCTAAATCTCTGACTGGGAAGCCACAGGCTCAACGGTCCTCTTCACCCCTGCAATTGGCTCCGTATCCGTGTTATTTTGCCCATGTCCAGTGTTATGCCAAGGACAAGTGAGTACTTATTTTACACAAGCTTGACTAAGAGAGAGCCCAACTGAATTCCTCCCAAAACAGAAGAATAATTTGTCACCAAGACTAATTCTAGTTCCTACCTCTAGAATCATAGTAAAGAAGTTACTGACAATTTAAAAATAATATTAGCACCTGTTTCTAGCCATCATTAGTTCATGAACGTTGAGGTCCAGTCTCAAACACCTACCTAAAAATGCAAATCTGATTATTTCACTTCTGTAAAAAACTGACAACAGTATGTAGTCAAGTCCAATATACAGCTCTCAAAGATCTAGCTCCTGCCTACCTTTTTAGACCCCCTGGTCACCCCTCCATGCCTCAGATGGCACACTCCAGTAACACACACCACTGATTCCTCCATTCCATGCTTCTGTATACTCCATCCCCTTCTCTTCTTCTGCATGTCATCTCTTCCAGGAAGCCATCCCTGTGCTCTCAAATTCCTTCCCTCCAGGATGACCAACTGTCCTGGTTTGCCCAGGACACAGAGCTTTCTGCAATGTGAGACTTTCAGAGTTAAAACTGGGACAGTCAGTCCCAGGACAGTTGGTCACCCCGTTCATCTCTCCTGTGCATGTCTCTCTTTCTTGGGTATAGTGTGTGCATGGGCTTTGGCCCTGATTCCTTTGTGGAATGAGTGGGTGTGGGACATGGGGAATAGGATGAGATGAGAATGACTGGGTGGTGATAGTGGTACCCCATGGCAAGGGGGACACTGGGACAGGACTGGGAGATGGTTTGGGAGATGGTTTACTTAACATAATGACCTCCAGTTCCATCCATGTTGTTGCAAATGACAGAATCTCATTGCAAAGGGAAACATGGTGTGTTTGTGGAAATGCCAAGTTTGTAGCACTTGTGTCAGATTTAGGTGGAGGAGACCTGGATGAAGAGGAAGACTGTTGAGTATTCTGATTTGGAGACCAGGCTGGGAGTGCATAATAAGGTACTGATAAGGTACGTAGGAAAGGTTTTCTCCAGTATTATTGATTTTTTTTTTTTTGAGACAGAATCTTGCGCTGTTGCCCAGGCCAGAGTGCAATGGCATGATCTTGGCCCACTGCAACCTCCGCCTCCTGGATTCAAGCGATTCTTCTGCCTCAGCTTCCCAAGTAGCTGGGATTACAGGCACCTGCCACCATGCCCATCTAAGTTTTATATATATATATATTTTTTTTGAGATGGAGTTTTGCTCTTGTTGCCCAGGCTGGAGTGCAATGGTGCAATCTCGGCTCACTGCAACCTCTGCCTCCCAGGTTCAAGCGATTCTCCTACCTCAGCCTCCTGAGTAGCTGGGATTACAGGTATGTGCCACCATACCCGGCTAATTTTTTGTATATTTAGTAGAGACGGGGTTTCTCCATGGTGGTCAGGCTGGTCTCAAACTCCTGACCTCAGGTGATCTGCCCAGCTCCGCCTCCCAAAGTGCTGGGATTACAGGTGTGAGCCACCACGCCTGGCCTAATTTTTGTATTTTTTAGTAGAGATGGGGTTTCACCATGTTGGTCAGTCTCGAACTCCTGACCTCAGGTGATCCACCTACCTCGGCCTCCCAAAGTGCTGGTATTACAAGTGTGAGCCACCATGCCCGGTGCCAGTCTTGATGATTCTTATGTTTATCCCTCATATATAAATTACCACCATGATTCTAGTTCACTCAGTCTTCCAAAACTCCAGAGTCAAATCTGCACAGACAGACCACAGGAAACAGCATCTCCTGGGAGAGGCTGCCATCTTGCATAGCCCTTGCTGCTGCCTGGAGGCTTCTTCTCTCTAAACTGCTGCATTATCACATCATTGAGCGTTTCATTCATTGTGATAACTGAAGACTGTAGAATTTATGGTGCTTGTGAAAGCTCTAGAAAATATTGCCTAGCTATAGGCTATAATATTGTTAGCTAACTAAATGGTAATAACCAATTAGCATTGAACTTTTTTAGACTATGTTCTAAGGGAGAAATCATCAGTGATTTAATTTTCTGATATGCTTTTATGTTACTTGGACAACCCAAACTTACTATTTTTGAAAACAAGTAAGCAAGTGACAAATCACTCACCATGTGTTTTTATTTTTCATGAGGCTTGTTTCTAAATACAAAGAACCATATAGGCTATCATATCTGAAAGAGCCCTTGAAAGTCATGTAGGCCATCCTCATTTTACAAATGAAAAGCTGAGGCATATGCAGATTAATGACTTGCCTATAGCAACGGTACAAATATAGAAAGTTGAGATTAAGCTACATAATATTTGCTCTGCAAATTGATTTTTAGTGCTTTTGCATGACCCAGGAAAACTGTCTTGGCAACAACATCCTGATGTATAAACAAAACTCTCATCAACGAAATTACTGCTTAAAAGGTGAATATAAGGTCTATACTCAATACATTTTTGTTTCTACCTGGGGCTAGAGACCTCCTCTTTCAATATGGTCCTTCCCGTGCTACTAATCACACAAAATTGAAACAGGTGCTCTAAGATACGGCGGCGATCATTGGCTCCAGAATGCTCCTAGAGCAAGGCACGATGTATATGGATGCATCAGACTAGATGAAGAGATGTATTATTAATTCGTTTTTCAGAATGCAAACGGCAGATGTGTTCACATTTCTGCTCGGTGGGGTATTTCATTACTTTTTAATGTGCACACACTTAAGTAAAAAGGGAAAAACAAACCATACAAAGCATCCGACTGGTTAAAAGAGAAGCTTCATATTGAAAATTTGTTGCAGAGTACAGGATTGAGCTTGAAATGGAGGGATGGAAAGAGAGAGGGAAAGAACGCTTTTCCCAACACCTAATTTTGCAAGGAAGAGTTGTATTAATAAACAGGTTTTAGGAAAACTGCCTGTAAAGATTAACATCTTCTGGGCTGGGCGTGGTGGCTCACACCTGTAATCCCAGCACTTCGGGAGGCTGAGGTGAGCGGATTGCTTGAGCCCAGGAGTTCAAAACCAGCCTGGGCAACATGGTGAAACCCCATCTTTACAAAAAATACAGAATTTAGCCAGGCATGGTAGTGCGCGCCTGTGATCCCATTTACTCGCAAGGCTGAGGTGAGAGGATCCCTTGAGCCTGGCAAATTGAGGCTGCAGTGAGCGGTGATCACGTCACTGCACTCCAGCCTGAGCAACAGAGCAAGACACTGTCTCCAAACAAACAAACAGACACAAACAAACAAACAAACGAACATCAACGTCTTCTGAGTCAGGCAGTTGGCAAAAGATGAAATGAAGTTTTGACAACTGGTTTTTAAAAACAGAAACGTATCTGGGCAAATTAAACTATTTATGATTTGCTGAGTGCCTCCTGGGTGGTCAGACACTGCTCTGGAGGAGCTTGTGGTCTGGCAGAGGAAATGCTAACAAGGGCATGTATGAAAGGAGGAAGCAAAAGTCCTTAGAAAGTGCTGTGAAAAATCAGGAGGAGGTGAGGCTGAAAGCTGAAGAAGCCAGGAAGGCTTTCTAGAGGGGTGGCTTTCAGAGCAAGATGTGCAACCTCTCCCTAGGATCTGGAGTCCTAGAGCAGGTGGGGAAGAGCAGGGCACTTACTCACCCCCAGACCTTTCCTGGAGGTGTGATCTGGGCTTGGATGGGAAGCACCGGCATGTGAAAGGCCCTGAGGCAGGGAAATGAGCAGAGGTGGGCTGGAAAGGAACCACTGAGTAGAGAAGGGAGGAAAGGAGGCTATAAAGGTCACATTCATTCCATCTCTTCGTGTCTTAACTCTGAAAGAGTCAGAGAACTCCAAATAAAGACCGCTCACATTTTAACGTGGTTGGTAAGGAAGATGAGGGTCTGTGGGATGTGGGAGCAGAACAGTGAGAAAACATCTGAAAGCCACCCTGCTAGGAAGCCTTCCCCGGTTTCTTCGGCTTTCAGCCTCACTTCCTCCTGATTTTTCACAGCACTTCCCAGGGATTCTTGCTTGCTCCTTTCCTATGGGCCCTTGTTAGTACTTCTTCTGCCGGACCCCAGGGAACTCTGAAGATAAATAATTGCAGGCTGGGCGCAGTGGTTCACGCCTGTAAGCCGAGGTGGGAGGATTGCTTGAATCCAGTTCAAGACCAGCCCTGTAAACATAGTGAGACTCCTTCTCTACAAAACATTAAAAAAAAAAAAAAATAGCAGGGTGCGGTGGCACGCACTTGTAGTTCCAGCTACTTTGGAGGCTGAAGTGGGAGGATTGCTTGAGCCCAGAAGGTCGAGGCTGCAGTGAGTGGTGACTGTGTCACTGAACTCCAGTCTGGGGAACAGAGCAAGAATCTGTCTCTAAAAAATCAACAAAAATAATTGCATGAGTCAGGTCAATCTGCAGGCTTAGGGGGCCAGGTGATATGTTCATTGCGTAGTTGGAAAATAGCATGTGATAAGGTAATCAGTCCGGGGATAGTCCAGTTTGGGGTGTCAGAGGGTCAGGAGGAACAGCTCCACTGTGAGGAGCCCCATTTAACCTGATTTAGAAAAGGGAAGGCAGAGAAGCATCAGCGTTGAAACAGGGTTCCCTAGTGACCACAACCGTTGTAGACAGTACACCTTTTTGTGGTTTAGGGTTTTATTCCTGTAATATGTTTCGTAGCCTTATAAATCCGGGGCTTTACACCTTGCTGGGGACTTACTAGGTGTCAATGGAGATGTGGTTTATTAATTGTATTCTTTTTTAAGAATAAGTTGCTCCTATTTGGCTTTCACAATGCAGCTAATATTTTTGATGCCTCAGGTTCTATGAAGGCCTCATTGTTTGGCGTTTTCTACTTTTTTAAGCAATGAAAATGTGGAAAAGCCTGGAGCAATTTCTTATGCGTTTGACACATATGTTGAGGGATATTAAATAATTGCTGCCCAGAGTAAAATATAACAGGTTTTTATGGCCAACCCTTATGTTGACAGAGTGTACAGGCTGGTAGCTATGTATACTTTTTCAAAATAAATGCATCTCTGTGAAATGAGCTATCATCTGAAAGCATGGAGTAATTAAGGAGCAATATATTTGTTCCAAGGAACTGACATTAATGTTGACACACGATGTTTCTAGGCAATTTGATCTATACCAATAATTCACTTTCTTCCCTACAGCAGGACTCATTTTGTTCCTAAGTCATTGGAGGCTGTATTAGAGATTTATCTGGTGGCTTTTTAAAAGCACATTATTTACTACAGTGTGTGTTGAGCCACCATTTATGTTTATTGATCGTAATAAGTATGGCATTCAACCAGAATTTGGATTCAGGTTTTTAATATCTAATTTAGATTCTTTCCCTTGATTACACTGACATAGGGCCTTAGCATTGTTAAAACTGAAAAACTATACAGCAAATTTGACCCTAGATACAATGATCAATCAATCGAAGAGCAAAAATGGAAACCAGTTATTCTGGCTGGTCACAATCTCGTATTAAAATGACTGATCTGGGCCTGGCACAGTGGCTCATGCCTGTAATCCCAGCACTTTGGGAGGCTGAGGTGGGTGAATCACCTGAGGTCAGGAGTTCAAGACCAGCCTGGCCAACATGGCGAAACCCGGTCTCTACTAAAAATACAAAAATTATCTCGGTGTGATGGTGGGCATCTGTAACCCCAGCTACTCAGGAGGCTGAGGCAGGAGAATCGCTTGAACTTGGGAGGCAGAGGTTGCAGTGAGCCAAGATTGCGCCAGTGCACTCCAGCCTGGGCAAGAAGAGCGAAATTCTGTCTCAAAAAAAAAAGAAAAAAGACTGAGGTTTGTTATAATGATTATGATCATTTTGTCTTTGCCTTTTTATTTCTTAGTATCCCAGAAATTATCCAACCAACATTTTTGATGTGGAAATGTGAATGAAATCTCTTTTGGTAGAACTACAAGAAAGATTTTAAAGGTCGTATTTTTTCAGTTTTATCAACATGGACTTAGTAAGTAGCATAACGTCATCAGACTGATCTGGTTCAACTTTTATGTTACAGAGTTGTGAGTTGTTGTGAGTTGTTTTTCAGTTCCATGGACCCCCTGAGCATGCCCAGATGAACCAAGTGTGCAGGAACCTAAGTGCTTGGACTAAGGAGTGGGGACTGAATTAAGAAGCGGACACCCCATGGCAGGGTCCAGTCAGATCATGCCTCCCAGCATCACCTCATTGCAGGATCAGATCATCCTCATTACCCTATGGTTATGAAACCTGACCTAGCCTCAAGCTCAGGGAGACAGATTTGAGCATTTCCTTCAGTTTCCTTGTCAGTCTACTCACAATAAACCTTTCTCACTGCCAAAACCCAGTGCTTTGGTGCTTGACTTAACTTTGCCTGAGGGCAAACGGACCTGGTTTGGTTTGGTGACAGTAGTTTGTGTGTTATTTTAAAGCATTGGTGTTTTAAAATTGTACTGAGATATTAATATACAGAGGTAATAATCCCCAAAGTAAAACTATCATCATAAAACCTTTTTGGGATGGAATAGCTCTTTTTTTTTGAGACAGAATCTCGCTTTTGTTGCCCAGGCTGGAGTGCAGCGGTGTGATCTCGGCTCACTACAGCCTCCACCTCCCAAGTTCAAGTGATTCTTTTGCCTCAGCCTCCCGAGTAGCTGGAATCACAGGTGCGCACCACCATGCCCTGTTAAATTTTGTATTTTTAGTAGAGATGGGGTTTCACTATATTGGCCAGGCTGGTCTTGAACTAACCTCAAGTGATCCACCTGCCTTGGCCTCCCAAAGTGCTGAATTGCAGGTGTGAGCCACCGCACCCAGCCTGGAACAGCTCTTTTAATGAGAAAAGAATAAAGTCAATTTGAAAAAAAAAAAAAAAAAAGGCTTCAAACCCGAGCCTGATTCAAACATTTTAAATCTGTCTTTTAAAGACCATTCCAAAACTTATGCTTTTATCATAAAACAATTCATTGGTAATTTATTTTGGATTATTCTTCTGTATTTCTCCTTGTAAGTGTATTTGCCCAGTGTGTTACTCTGACATGCCCCATGTTAGTAGCTGAACCGTTATTAACTATTGATCTATACCAATAATTCGTTTTGTTCCCTACTGCAGGGCTCATTTTGTTACTACATCATGTGAGGCTTTCTTAGAGATGTACCCAGTGGCTTTTTAAAAGCACACATTTTACTACCATGTGCGTCTGGTTACAATTTATGTGTGTGTATGTATGTGTGGGTATATATTACCTATATGCAGTGTATGTATATATACACATATATATGTATATATGTGTTCACAACATTCTGATGTAAAGGATATGTCAGATTTCTATGTTCCTTGATTTAGAGAAAAAAGGTTGATGACTTATTTTTTCCATTTTCTAATTTATTGGGAAATACGATATACATACATTTAACAACAGACCAAAGGAAAAAATGAAAGAATGCCTCCATCCTGGTGTGCATATTCATGTGCTATTCAAAACCACCCCACTTCACTTTTTCCTCTTTTTTCCACTGATGATTCTGAGCACTCTGCTAATGTTATAGATACCCAGGATTGAAAACACAGACTTTAGAGATCTGGACTTGAATCCTATTTCTGCTACTTGCTTGGGCATGGTTCATAACCTCTCTGAGCCTCACTTTCCTCATATGGAAAGTGGAAGACCATAATAATGGCCAGCATGGTGGTGGTGTGAGGATTAAATGAAATGCCATATCTGAAGTGCAGGTACAGCACCTGGCATGTAGGAAGCACCCAGTGAGGTGTAGCTTCTTAGTGGCAGCCGTGATCATAGTAGAAGTACTGTAATTGTAAACTTGGTGGTGGTGGCAAGGAAAAGGCCACTAACATTTACCCTTCAGTATGCACTGAGCTAGTAGCATTGTGTCATGGATGCTCACTGAGCCTGTGCAGCTAGTACAAGGTAAGCTGAAGGACAACCCGGAGGAAAATATAATTGAGAAAACACATGACTACTTTCAAACATTTACAGTGACCCAGAAGTATAAGTGGGAGGAGCCATGAATGATTTACATAGAGGATCCACATCTCAGATATTTATGGATTACTTAAGATAATAGACTGTGTACTGGGCATTGAGGACAGAAAGATGGATAAGACAAGGTCCTGTCTTCCAGTCTTTCCCACTCCTCTGTGTGTGTGTGTGTGTGTGTGTGTGTGTGTGTTTGTGTGTGTGTGTCTGTATTGGGGTGGTGAGAGCCAGAGAAGAAAACCTGATGGATGAGACCATAAGAGATGAACTCACCTCCCTGGGTGATGTCCGGGGCTGGTTCCGTGCTTTTGCCCCAAGGAGTTCATATTGAAATGGAGAGGATGGATAACTCAAGCTCCACCTGACCTCCTAGAAGAGTGCTGTCCAGTACTGAGCCACATAGGTAATTTTAAATTTTCTACTAGCCAAATTAAAAAAGTAGAAACAGGTGAAATTAATTTTAATAATATCCTTTGTTTAACCCAATATATCCAAAACATAGACTCAATATACAATTCTTAATGGGATATTTATTTTATTTTTTGAATTACATCTTTGAAAAGTGGTGTGCATTTTACACTCAGAGTATATCTCTATTTAGACAAGCCACATTTCGAGGACTCAATAGGTACCTGTGGTTAGTGTCTACCTTAAGGGACAGGGTAGTTCTAGAGCTCTGCTACTCAAAGTATGGTCCTTGGCCTCACAGTTTCACAGTGTAGATATGCCCTCTGTCCCTTCCACTCCTCCTAAATTGGAATTTGCATTGTAACAAGATCCATGGTGAGCCCTCAGAGTTTGAGAGGGGCTGTCTGATGACTTGAAAATCTCATTTGAGGAAACTGCACACCCTCCCTTCTAGTCATATTTGTGCAGTACATTTCCTCATCATAGATTAGGTAAACCATCTTATCATAGTCGGACCAAAGGTAGAGTTCAGTTTAGCCCTTGTTGGAACCAGTGGGATCTAGTTGGGTTTTTCTTAGTCGGAAGGTTGAGCTATTTGGCAGAAAATGAAGGAGAGACAGGACAAAGATGAGATACGAGTGTTTATTCAACCACAGAACAAATGACATCACCATTGTCATTGGAGCTCTTCTTTTCTGACATATGTTTTGAAAGGGAGAAAGGAGTGAAGAAGGGAAGAGAGTGAGAGCTTCCAAATTCATGGGGTTTTCGTTATGTCAGAGTTCTTCCCCTAGGGTTAGCCTCATGAGCACGTGAGCTTGGAAGGGCCTGGCACTTGGATTAATGCTCTGCTGTTGCAGTGTTGAAATTCTTGACAATTGGGTCCGGCATGCCTGCTTTATACCGAGCCCTGAAAATTATGTAGCTTGTCCTGCCTCCCCTAAATGTCCACTTACTATCCACCTGCAGGTGTAAGAGTCACACTGGATTAGGTAGGTTTTGGGAGGCATTTTCTCTTTATGTGTGTGTATGTATGTGTGGGTATATATTATATATGTGGTGGGTGTATATATACACATATGTATGTATATATGTGTTCACAACATTATGATATAAAGGATATGTGCTGGGCCAGGTACGGTGGCTCACGCCTGTAATCCCAGCACTTTCGGAGGCTGAGGCGGGCGGATCACGAGGTCAGGAGTTCGAGATCAGCCTGACCAACATGGTGAAACCCCATCTCTACTAAAAATACAAAAATTAGCCAAATGTGGTAGCACGTGCCTGTATTCCCAACTACTTGGAAGGCTGAGGTAGGAGAATTGCTTGAGGTGGAGGTTGCTGTGAGCGAAGATCAAGCCACTGCACTCCAGCCTGGGCAACAGGGAGAGACTCCATCTCAAAAAAAAAAAAAAAAAAGGGATATGTCCCGGATCAGCTGGATCAGGTAGGTTTGGGAGGTGTTTTCTCTTTCACTTCCCCATCACCACAATCTCTTTATAGCTTAAGAAATAAAAAAGAGATAACACAGGCCTTTGGGAGAATCGAGATCAATAATGCATTAGATAATGGTGTTCTGAGGCAGGATTTCAATGAAAGGCTAAGTGCTGTAACTATGTAACAAAACACCAGCACAGGACAAAGAGTAGGTTTCTCAATCAACAAGGATAAACAGCCCCACCCTCCCAACCTTGTCTCCAGGTTTACAATTATCTGCAGTGTTTGAATAGAGCTCAGAGATCTCTGGGCAGTGACAATGAGTCAGCTGGGCCCATTCATGTTGGAAGTTTTATATGGGTGAAAGTTAAAAATGTTAACTTGTTTCTATGTTGTAAAAATGTTAAACAAAGAATAAAAGTATATTCTCAAGATGACTCATGAGGAAAAAAGAAAGTATATTAGTAGTTTCAGAGCTCAGACCTGAATCAAATGCCTGAATCAAATCAAAAACTACTCAAAGCTTTGAGACCTAAGAAAGTCACTTTCTTTTAATACTAATGGACTTGGTATAATTTGTAATGCCTGCAGCTCAGAGTTTAGGCGGAGAGTCAGCCACATTGGCTTCACCTGGGGGCTGATTACAGATCTCAGGCCACCCCCACACCCCACACCCATCGCCACCACTGACCTGCTGAATAAGGATCTGTATTTTATCAAGATCTACAGGTGATCTGTGTGCCTATTAGAGTTTAAGAAGTGCTGTAATGTTGCACTCAGCAACTACTTATCTTGGCGGTGGTGGGAAGGGAGGAGGGAAATCTAACCCCTTCACAGGTGCATCAACTTAGTGCCTAAGACTTCTTGAAGCATTATGGGAAAGCGAGGGTTCTCAAAGTGTGGGCTTCAGACTGGCAGCATCAGCAGCACCCAGGAGCTTGTGGCAGTGCAAATTCCCAGACTCTGATTATCTGGCTCAGAAACTCTGGGAGTGGGACCCCACAATCTGTGGCTCCATCTTAGCAAGTCTTTCCAGTGCTTCGGATGCATGGTAAAGTTGGAGAACCATGGCTGTAAAGTATCAGTAGTCGAGGAGCAGGAAGATATTTCCACTGGTTGTACATTTTAGTTTAGAATGCTTGATCTTGTCAAGCGGAGCCCCACATTGAATCACATGTTTCATAAGGCAGTAATTCTAACTTTGAAAGAAGTCACGATGCTCTGACTAATTTGAAATTTATTTTTATTTCTGAGGGAGATTTGGACATGGAAAGGGATGGCAAGAAGTGAAATGGTTGAAAAAATAAAGAGTATGACATGATCTGGCAATTATTAACCTGGGGAAGTGAAGAGTGAAAGAAGAAGCAATCGAGCCACATGTTATCTCTGTAAATGGTGAAGTGACTCACCCTAGGGCTCACCAGGAACAGGAAGATGTCGTTTCTTTCTTGCCTCCAAGTGGCAAGCAGGGACTGTGTGTCCTTCATTCATAGCTGCTTGAGAATCAATTACAATAGGTGGGATGCTGTGATAGCCAATAGGGTTCAGAAATCAAGACACAGTCCATGATTCCGAGGAGGCGGCAGCCTAGCCGGAGACGGTGACTAATCGGGAATTATATATAATGTTCACGAAAAGATTTGTGGATATAGAGGAAGGATCCCCAAGTAAAGCTGGGTGGGAGGGAGTCATTGAAGTTTTCCTGAAAGTGCAGAGTTTGAGGGAGAGTCCAAGCTGGAAAAGCACAGGGACATGGAGGTGGCCCACGCATCCCTAAAGTGCAGCGATGAGTAACTGGTGGATAAGTCACAGCCCATAAATCTCAGAATTCATCCATTCACTCCACAAATATTTACTCAGTACCTGCTGAGGGCCTGGCACTGTTCTAGGCCATGAGGATACTTCCGTGAGCAAGACAAACACAAATTCCTGCTGACAAGGCTTCATTCTAGCAAAGGGATATAAACCCCATACAGATAATATATATGTAAATTATAAGACAATGTGATGTAATCACACTGGAAAGGTAGAGAAATGGCAACCGGAGGTGTGAGATGGTGTAAGAATCCTGTGATGCCATCTTCTACAATGGGGATTTAGGTCTTTAATGTCTTCTTTTTTTTTTTTTTTTTTTTTTTGAGACGGAGTCTCGCTCTGTCGCCCAGGCTGGAGTGCGGTGGCGTGATCTCGGCTCACTGCAAGCTCCACCTCCTGGGTTCACGCCATTCTCCTGCCTCAGCCTCCCGAGTAGCTGGGACTACAGGTGCCCATCACCTCGCCCGGCTAATTTTTTTTTGTATATTTAGTAGAGACGGGGCTTCACCGTGTTAGCCAGGATGGTCTCCAACTCCTGACCTCGTGATCCGCCCACCTCGGCCTCCCAAAGTGCTGGGATTACAGGCGTGAGCCACCGTGCCCGGTCTTTAACGTCTTAAGTTGATAAAACAAGAAATAGCAGTGTAAGCATATTCCTTAGAGATATGCAGGTTAATACCAGAAACAATAGCTAAAAGATTTCAGAGAGAAACATTCAGGAGTGGGGACACCAGGGGCTGCTATTTTTTACTATGAACCTTGTATAGTATATGATGTATTCATTCATTCACTCACGCATTCATTCATGAATTCACAAGTCTGTGTGAATATCAGTGTGTGCAAGGTTTTGTTGCAGATGCTGGGGATACAGTAGTTAAAAAAACACAAACGTTTCTGCCCTGGCGGAACTTAGATTCAGGGGTGGGAGCTAGAGGTGAAGGGAGTAGGTCAGAGGAGAAAAAGGAAGGGTGGGGAGGGCTGGGAAAGTTGCCCTTGTGTGTAGAGAGATGAGAATGGGCCTCCCTGTGAGAGTGGTATTTGAATGACAGCAGGAAGAAAAGAGCCATATGGCAGCTCAGGTGCAAAGGTCTATAGCAGTTTAGGTGTGAGTGTGGGTGGAGCAGTGGGGATGTGGGGGTGCTCAGGGATGGAAGGGAGGGTGGTGGAAAGGACCTCAGCAATTCGGAGGTGAATGGTGAGGGATGTGGATGCCATCATCCAGCAAGGAACCTGCCTTTTACTCTGTGATATGAGAAGCCACCGAACTTTGGCGATGGAGTAATTCCTTATATCTTTAAAAAGAGGCACAAAGACCACACCTCATAAATACTGACATCATATTAACAGAATAGATAATACACCACTTTTTCAAATGTATCTTTTTTTCTTTTAATCGCTGAGAGGGAAAAGTAGTATCAGTGGCAGCACACACACACACACACACACACACACACGGAAGAAATGGAAATAAAAGCTAAAGAACAAACTAGTAATGATTCGGAGTGAGACCCCTAACACCTCCCGAATGGGGGCAAGAAGCTCAGGACTCTGGTAGCCCAGGCAGAGTCTGAGTAACTGGCGTTGCCTCTCTTCATGCATCTACCTGATCCACCTGTCCTTCTACCCACCCCTCTGATCCCTAGGAATTCTGAGAGCCTGGTATCACCCAGGTACAAGATGAAGAAGTCTATTGTCCCCTAGAGGGTAAATGGCAAGAGGTGCAGTTTAGGAGGATTCTCAGTCTGGGAGGAGAAGCTAGCTGAGAGCTTGCCACAGATGTAAGCAGGAACGCCCGGCTGAAGTGGGAACGAGGCAGAGGCTGGAAGACACAGCAGAGTGCTGTGCAACAGATGCCGCCTGGCAGACATGGTGCTCTCATCACAAGAGACTGTTATTTGGTACTGAAGTAGCCTTCACATTCCATAGAAAAATGTCTTTCTATTTTTTATATTATACTTTAAGTTCTGGGGTACAGGTGCAGAACATCCAGGTTTGTTACATAGGTATTGATGCGCCATGGTGGTTTGCTGCACGCATCAGCCTGTCATCTACATTAGATATTTGTCCTAATGCTCTCCTCCCACAGCCCTCCACGCCCCGACAGTCCCCAGTATGTGATGCGCCTCCCACCCCCCGTGTCCATGTGTTCTCACTGTTCAACCCCAACTTATGAGAGAGAACACACGGTGTCTGGTTTTCTGTCCTTGTGTTAGTTTGCTGAGAATGATGCTTTCCAGCATCATCTATGTCCCTGCAAAGGACATGAACTCATCCTTTTTTATGACGGCATAGTATTCCATTGTGTATCTGTGCCACATTTTCTTTATCTGGTCTATCATTGATGGGCAATTGGGTTGGTTCCAAGTCTTTGTTATTGTGAACAGTGCTGCAATAAACATATGTCTGCATATGTCTTTA
Source organism: Homo sapiens (assembly GCF_000001405.40). NCBI lineage: Eukaryota > Metazoa > Chordata > Mammalia > Primates > Hominidae > Homo > Homo sapiens. The sequence continues at coordinate 55,433 of NW_003871091.1, forward strand.
TAGCAGAATGATTTATAATCCTTTGAGTATATACCTAGTAATGGGATTGCTGAGTCAAATGGTATTTCTGGTTGTAGATCTTTGAGGAATCGCCACACTGTCTTCCACAATGGTTGAACTAATTTACACTCCCACCAACAGTATAAAAGCGTTCCTAAGAAAAATGCCTTTCAATCCTTTACCTTATTCCATGATCACCAATTTTCTGATACCTAATTCAGTGTGCAGGCACATTGATTCCAAGACAGGTTCATGGTATAATGGCAAAACAACAGCAAGACAACTTCCATTGTAAATGAACGGGGGCTTCTTGTTCCTTGGGTTTAGCTGGCTCCATTCCCTTAGCTCCTGACCAACCTTGGTAAAATAAAATTTCTAAACCTTGAAGCTTGAGGACTGGACCTTTACCAACAAATGTGTGTTGAAGAGTGAGCATGGGAGGTGCAGTGAGTGTAGGGGCTCACCTGGAAATACTCCGCTCCTCCTAAGCATTGCTCCAGCGTGGCACCCACAGCCACAGAAGGAAGCACAGCACAGGAGATCCATCAGGGTGTCCCATGAAATGCTGCATCCGAAGCATGGGCCAAAATATCTAGACCTCAATGAAGAGCTATAAAGGGGTGTTAGGGGATACAGCATCTAACATAGAAAGCACGCTGTCCATGGTTATTAAGTGAATGCATGGATGAACAGGAGGAGTCCAAATTATCTGTTTTAAAGAGGAAGACATTTCTTTGTGTTTTTAATCCTTCTTGTTTTTATGGTGTCTACTACCAATTAAAATGTATTGTGCCATGTTTCTTAATTAAAATAAGAAATTTGATTGCATGTTTCTGTTGGTAAATGATCATACAAGAATCATTCATGTCAGCTTTGTTCTGGGAATGAACACAGGATATGGGGTCAAGATACGTGGGGTAACTCTGTTACCAAGACCTTTAAGGAAATAGTATTATTGAATAGAAAATGGAACATTTGGGCTCTGAAGTCTTATTTCATGACATTTAAAGTGTTTATTTAGCTCTGGCTTCCTCTGCTGGAAGATTGACTTTCTTATTTGCTCCTGTAACGGATGGATATGCTGTGTGGCTGTAGAGCTCCTTCCCTCCCTCCCTCCTTTCCTTCCTTCCTTCCTTCCTTCCTTCCTTCCTTCCTTCCTTCCTTCCTTCCTCCCTCCCTCCCTCCCTCCCTGCTTGCCTTTCTCTTTCTTTCTTTCTCTCTCTCTCTTTCTTTATTCTTCCTTCCCCCCTCCCTCTCTGTCTCCCTTCCCTTTTCTTTTCTTTTTTCTTTCCTTTCCTTTCCTGTTTTCCTTCCTTCCCTCTTTCATTCCTTTCTTTCCATCCCTAGTTTTCTTTTCTTTTCTTTTCTTTTTTTTTTTTTTTTTGAGGCAGAGTCTCACTCTTGTCCCCCAGGCTGGAGTGCAGTGGTGCAATCTTGGCTCACTGCAAGCTCCACCTCCCGGGTTCACGCCATTCTCCTGCCTCAGCCTCCCGAGTAGCTGCGACTACAGGCGCCCACCACCAGACCTGGCTAATTTTTTGTATTTTTAGTAGAGATGGGGTTTCACCGTGTTAGCCAGGATGGTCTCGATCTCCTGACATCGTGACCTGCCCGCCTCAGCCTCCCAAAGTGCTGGGATTACAGGTGTGAGCCACTGTGCCCAGCCTCTATCCCCAGTTTTATATTGAATTATAATTAGATTCAAAAGAAACCTTTCAGCCAGTGGTCCTCATCCTTAAACTGCATATTGGAATCTCCTGGGAGACGTAATGTTGTAGGCTAAGGATATAATTCAGGCTATTACTGAATTATAAAGCGTGCTGTGTTCATATCCTGGAGGATGGAATTGGGTCACAGTGTTTTCAAGTCTGAAAAATCAGATGCCATAGTTCTTTGTGTTTTTAAGTTAGAGTCCATTGCCTTAAGTCCTCATGGGCATTTTAAGAAATAGATCAAAGTATTTGATGAGCTCAGGGTATGGGCACCCATACTTTCTCCTCGCTTTATCCTTCAAATTAGTCTACTTAGAATTTGCTTTTAAATTTCTGCCTAATTTTAAAAAGACAATTGTGGGACTGAGTTGCTGTCCTACCCTTTTTCTTTAATTGTTATTTGACTTCAGACTCTTCCTATAACTCATGTGTGTGTGGGTGACACTCCTCTGAAAAATGGGCCAACAGAAGGGCTTATTATTTGGGCCACTGTGGTCATGAAACCCAGGTTCACATTGATTTTATTGCAAAATTTAGATACATGCACCAGTCCACATGTTAATTTGCTTAGTATTCTTACCTTTTAAAATGTTTTTGCTTCTCAGACCCTTGTGATTTCAAGTCAGAAGTCCCTGACCTCTTAATGCTTGTTTTTTTTTTGTTTTTTTTGACACAGTCTGCATCTATCCCAGCCTCAGTCCTCAACTTCCACTGCTCTGTGTAGCATAATCCCCATGCAGTCCCACAGTTACAGTCAACAGGGCCTTTCCTCCATCTATTAGCAAACATTCCTGTTCTTAGAGCCTCAGAGAGTGAGGCAATGACAGGATCACGATTTTAACATTTCCCCTTTCCTGAAGCTTCTTTATTGGGACACTGGTGTTAAAAAGGAAAAAAAAAAACAGCTTAATTAAAAATTTTTATGTATCATGTGGAGCAGGGTTGCCTAAATGAGAAAAAGATACTTGAAATCCCAGCCTCTATTTTCATCAGTCAGAGGAATTCAGAGGAGGCTCAGGAAAATTGTGAGGACAGAGGGCTGTGTCCTGAGTCCCTAGCCTACAATCCCTGTGTCCATCAGTCAAGGAGGGCAGCCTCATCACAGCTGCAGGCTCTCCTGCATATCTTTGTCAATTGTCGACCGACTAATTCTATTCAGGTTGCCTTTTGTAGGGGTCAGCAGAGTAGGATCCTGGCAATTTCATATGATTAAAACTATTTTGAACAAGACCCTTGGCTAGGATCTGTTTCAAACGATGAAGAAAGTTCTTTTTTCATTGTTACAGGAATTGTGTTTAATGAGATGTAGAAGGCTGTAGTGTAAAACTTTTTTTTAAATGGGGTTAGGAGGTTTAAGGGAGATAATTGAAAACCTGGTTATCTCTTGTTTTAGTAGTGGTTCTTTGCTGCTGTACATGTAACACAAACTACTTGAATTTCAAGATGCTACCATCCCTTGGGCATGAATTATGAATGTTTGATATTCCTTGATTCCATCACAGGACTTGTATGGTTGATCTTTGTCCAACCCGAGCCTTGGATCAGGAAAAAGGATGAGTTCGGGTTTATGTTGCCCTATAGCCAGCAGGGGGTGTTCGTGGCCTTCCTATTCCAAAAGGCCGCAGCACCCTCTCCCAGGCTCCGGGTGAAACTGGTTTGTGAGTCACCATTACCATCCTTCTTTCTCTGTTCAAATTGGCATTTTACCAAGAACAGCATTACTTCTGAGTGAGCAACAGCTGACCAATTATCTTGAAAAATATTTGGGAAGCTATACAATTTTAAAAGTGAAAAGCAAAATATATCTTCTATTTTTAACTTGTTCCCTAAACATGAATTACCTGGGGGAAAAGCAGATGCTTTTCAATCTTTTAAATGATTGCACCTATTCTAAACCATCCAGGTGTTTTTGAAATGACCCACAGTCATCTTTAATAGCATGCGAAGGGGCCAAGGCCCTCTCAACTTTAGATTTAATAGCCTGCCCCCTTCAATTGTCAGAGATATTGACAGAGATAGGCCTGACTGTTCTGCTGTAATTTCAACTCATTTTCTCCTGCTCTAATATCTATAGTACGGGATGGACTTTTTTTTTTTCTTTTCTGTAGAGGCCAGGTCATAAATATTTAGGCTGTGTGGGCTGGAGAGACTGTTGCAACTACTCAACTCTGCTGTCCTTGTGCAAGAGCAGCTGTAGACAATATGCAAACAAACGTTCATGACTGTGTCCTAATAAACTTTATTTGTAATTTGGCCACGCCCTATCTTATTGATAGCCCTCCAAAACGTCAGTATCTTCCATATATCTGTTATTTTATGTTGTTTATAAACTCAAACTCTTCTCCGATTAAGAGGAAAATAATCGAATCTGAAAGTCCCTCAGGTTCAACTCCTTTCCCAATGCCTGGTCCCCCTTATAACACTCTTGACAAGCATCTTTGCCCACTGCTCGGAACTCTCATGCTTTGTGTCTTCCCTGCAACACAAGCAGTGGCCCCGAAGAGCAGACAGCGTGATACAAATGCACAGAAGTTTTTAAGGAGATAGCACAACAATTTAGAAACTAAGGCTGCTGGAATGATGAGCTTTTAATCTTTTCATTCATCGCAGGGTTTAATCCATATTTGAAAAGAAAGATGCCACAGTATAAAGCTGACAGGCACTGACTGGCCTGAAATATCTCAGGAAAATCTGGTTTCAGATTTTTCTAGGAGTTGATCCAAGAACATTTTTCTTTCTGCCTTTTGATCTGTTGAAAGATCCACAAGATACTTGGATGCCTTGAAGACATAAATGCCAGTACAGAAATAAACTCTGACGAGTTGTCTTGTAAAGGGAGCCAGCTCTTAGAGAAGGGATCATTGTAAGGGTAGGAACTGAAACTTTTTTGTCTACTACCTGACATTCTCAAACCCTTCTTTCCTTTGTACTTTTTCTGTGAACAGATGGTTTCGTCCAGCTTGGAGTGGGTTTAGGGGAGACTGAGAAAACAAGACGGCTGCCTGCAGTTTTAGTCTCTCTTTACCCATCTTAAACTTTTTCTTCCCCTCTCCATTTTTGAGAGCAAGAGGTTACATGCTCCCTTTCCTCCTGTAGAAGAAACATTTAGCTGGGGCTGACACAATGGCGAGGACATGAGAAATGACCACAGGAGAAGCCCTGGAGGCAGAAGACTAGGTCTTTGCCCCTTTTACAGTGAGATAGTTTTATATAAATATCAGAGGTTACTGGAGGCACCCAAACAAAATTGAGGACAGGAAGCAAATATCTGAGAGGCTCCCAAACCTCGATGTACTGTGGGACCCAAACGAGCACGTGAATCCCTTCTAGATATCCTTTGGATCCTTTAAGAGTAGCACAGGCGGGGCGCGACGTTTCACGGCTGTAATCCCAACACTTTGGGAGGCCGAGGCGGGCGGATCACGGGGTCAAGAGATCGAGACCATCCTGGCCTACGTGGTGAAACCCCGTCTCTACTAAAGATACAAAAATTAGCTAGGCATGGTGTCATGTGCCTGTAGTCCCAGCTACTCGGGAGGCTGAGGCAGGAGAATTGCTTGAACCTGGGAGGCAGAGGTTGCAGCGAGCCGAGATCGTGACACTGCACTCCAGCCTGGCGACAGAGCGAAACTCTGTCTCAAACAAACAAATAAATAAATAAATAAAGAGTAGCAGATACCACTTATAAAGTTTTATTATAAAGAATTATTGGAGTTGGCTATGAATTCTCCTCCTTACTCACGTCTGGTGGGGCAAAACGGGGAGGATCAGATACTATGAAGACAAAGATACTGGAAATAGATCAAAGCCTTGAATTCCCAGCCCCAGACTCTACCCACCATGATCCCTACCTGCAGGGGTCTGGGTTCCTCTTGCCCAGCCTGCTCAATCTCTGACCCCCTAGCATGGGTCTCTGGCTTGCTCAGAGGTGCAGGCTCCCAGCTCCCCTTCTCCAGTCGCCTGAAGACTCAGTGGTTCCTCTCTGAAGGATGTAGTTTTAACCTTTGTTTGCTGTAAAAACATATAGCAGGCAAGTGCTTGTCACAAGGGGACTTATTTCTTCCTTCTGCTTCATGTGATGGGGAGGGTCCGGCTGTGGATATCTGCTGTGCTAAGACAGCCACAGTGTGGTCTAAGACAGAGCCTGGTCTTGGCCACTCTGATATCTGGCTGACTGAGAGACAGTGTGGATGGGTGGAAGAGGGCAGTCTTGCATGCTGTCATCTCCTCCCTAGGGCCCTATTGACCTTTGGTGGATCCACACTTGAGGTGTGGACAGAGGAGAGAGACAGAGAATGCCTTGTCTCCTGTAGAAAGGCCTCTTCTGGAAACTTCCAAGCACCTAACATTGTAGGAGGAGAATAGGAGACTGAGAGAGAAATATAAAAAGCCATGTTCCCACAGTAAGCTCTCCTACCACTGGCTCAGCCTCCTGTCCATTTGGGAATGATTAGAGATGCTACCTCCTTCCTCAGGGCTGCCAACTACAAGTGCGCAGCCTCCCCCAACTCTTAGCACTGTAGCCAGGTGTAGTTATAAATAAACGTTGGGGTGACTTATCCTTGTGTGATGTGTGTAAGTTAGCCCTTTCTTTGATTAACTATAAATACGTAAATTAGATATTCCCTGGTTTCCCCAAACACTGGTAGTAGTGAATTTTCTTGGAATGCCCTTCTTTGGTCTGCTGGCTGATTATTATTTTCAGACGACACTAATGACGGCCCAGGTGTGATGTCTACAAAGCCCCACATTAAGGCGCTTGCGTAGCAAACCTGCCATTCAGGTAATGACGGCCGCCCTCTGGAAAAACAAGCTGAGACCATACCGGGGAAGGCCTTGGATACTTGAGAAGGGTGTGAGGCCAGTCACAGGAGTTGACTCGGTGGAACGGGGCATAAGAGTTACGGGTGGCTTTATGAAGCTTTTGTTGAGTGTGGGAGGGTGGAAAGAGCTTTACTGAAGAGACATGTTTTCTGTTTCCCAGTTCAAATCAATTTCCTTATCATGATACAAGCAAGGGTAATAATTATTAGGATTATTTACCATGATTATGGGTGACAGGAATTGCAGTTGGGCAAAGGGACTCTTTTGTATATTGTAATTTCCTTCCCTAAAGTTCTAGCTTCCTTATTTTGTCTTCCTAATAGTGACTCACACCGCAGTAGGCAGGAAGCAGGTATTTAATGACCACTTCTTCACTGGTTCTTTATTCCAACTCCATTCATTCCAATACAAATTTCTTGAAAACAAAGAATAATGACATCCATAACACAAATGAAAGCAGCCTGTCTAAGCTGATTTAATTTAGTATGGAATAGGACGCAATTTCACAGTTAGAGTTATTGTTGTTTATTTTTTTTTATTATTTTTTTTTTTTCAGATGGAGTCTCTCTCTGTCGCCCAGGCTGGAGTGCAGTGGCGCAATCTCGGCTCACTGCAAGCTCCGCCTCCCGGGTTCACGCCACTCTCCTGCCTCAGCCTCCCGAATAGCTGGGACTACAGGCACCCGCCACCATGCCTGGCTAATTTTTTGTATTTTTAGTAGAGACGGGGTTTCACCGGGTTAGCCTGGATGGTCTCCATCTCCTGACCTCGTGATCCACCCGCCTCGGCCTCCCAAAGTGCTGGGATTACAGGCATGAGCCACTGCGTCTGGCTGTTGTTTTTATTCTTAAAACTTCAGCCATCATTTGGTTCACTGAAGAAAGAAATGGCCCTTGAAGAGAATTTAGAAAGATTTTTATAAGTGAATACTCACTTATACATAAATATAGACGTATATTTTTTAGTGCTAGTTAGCTAACACAATAGACAATCCTGGACAAGTGTTTTCCATCCTCTCCTGTGAATCTGATTTGTGAACCTCTCATAGCTTTTACTACGCATGGAGTCCAGGAAAAATTTGGGACAAAGTGATCGATCTTAATTTCTAGACTTCATTCTGTCTTCTGTTCTTGGTGAGAACCTAAGAAACATCTTCCTTCCAGGCCTGACTTAGTGCTCTTGCAGGTTTAGCTTGCTTGGAGCAAGACTGTGCTAGTGGGATTCTAACGATGCCACCTTTCCTGCTGTGTTGTTTATCCTGTTCAGTTGATAGAGGACCTATTGAGACTGGTTTATAGACACGACACTCACTGTGGGGAATGCATCGAATTGCTAATTGATCAAAATCACCCATAATCTTGCGACTCGTGGATCAGCAGCCTTAGCATCCTCTGGGAGCTTGTTAGATGTCCAAAATCTTGGGCCTCAACCCAGAACAATTAGATCAGAATCTGCATTTTAACAAGATCCCCATATGATAAGTATGCACATTAAGATTTCGGAAGCACTGACATATAAGGCTTGGGACTGGGTGGTGACCTGAAACTACTGCTTCCTAGGGTGCTGGGGATGATACATGAACATTTTCACAATATTTTTTTTGTGATGAATCTCTGGATAAAATATTCTCAGCTGATGACTGTTGATGGTATTGGGTGTATCTGTGGCCTGTCCATTATTACTACCCTGTCTTTGTCTTTCTTGTCCTATCATATTCTGTGAGTGTGTGGGGAAAGAAAATTTTGATAGAAAACAGGAGTGAGTGTGGAGTCTAACTGGACAGGTTGGGGTCTGAGGTCCTCCAGGTTTGGAACTTGCTAAACTCTCTCAGGGAAGCAATCATCGTCCCTGATGCTGATTCGTTTTAGGCTAAAACAAGTTAAGAACACACCTCTGTATGAAAGCAGTGGATGCTTTGAGGTTTGATTAATGAGAAGGTAGCTTTTGGTTATAAAAACCTGTCCTCTGGTCCTGAGTGTCTATTTCTGACTCATGGATCTTGTCAGAACAAGATCCAGGTAAATGATGTCAAACTACCAATTGCCTCTGAAAAATATGAGTTCTGATTTTCAAATAGAAAATCCAGATTTCTCATACCTGGGCTCTTACCTTAGATAAAAGCCATCAGCAAGGGCTCATCAAAATGTGTTGCCCATATTCAGATTTTACATAACTCTCTAGCAAGCACTTTTGACTTGTGTGGCACAAAGAGTAAATATACTGGGTACAAATTCTGTTTCCACCATTTTATAGCTGTATGACCACAGGCAAGTTAATGCAGTCCATTTGAGCCTCAGTTTCCCCAATCATAAAATAAAGATAATGATATGCCACAAGGTTTTGATAAATGTTAAATGAGATTGTGAATGTAAAGCTCAGTCAAGGATAGTTGTTATTTAAAAAACTTCTGGTACATGTGTGTGTATGTCAATGCATACATGCTATGCTGCGTATGCATACCATGGAATTAGCAAAAATTGACTTGTAGTTTCTATTAGATGACTCATAATTTTATTAGATGAATTCCCATTTAAATTTCAATGGGAAGTTTGGGTGAGTAGGACAACCCATGTACTGAAATAGTTACACACACACACAAAGTTCAAGGTAAAACTTCTGAGTATGATTAGATCATCAGATCGTTAGGTATGTGAGAAGCACTGTCTTTTCCTTTTTGCATGATCTCACCTCCAGTATATTTTAGAAACTCTCTAACTCTCTTCAGAGAGATGGTGACACGTAGATGTTGTAATAGAATAGATGAGATGGGAATGAGTCACACATGGGAATGAAAGTAGGCCTATAGTCATTCGGAAAACCAATGTTGTTACCATAGGGAAATAACCAACAAAATACTTCAGGTGATATGTAAACACCAAAAATCTGAAAAGTATTTATTGATTAAAAGCTGTAGAAAAGTATAGCATTTAGAGTATAGCATTGTGAATAATCATGGCTAGAATAAATGAATTATACTCTTAATGACTTTTAAATATTATGACTAGAAGCTACGTAATAATTATGATCACCTTAATTTGTAAATGACTTATAGTTTCTTGGTGAGGGAGAACATTGCTTAACTATGTTGAAAAGAGATCTCCTTTCAGTGAAACTGTTGGTTTGTGTGGTATTGGAGGCATAAATATTTGTAGAGAAATTGTTAATGTCCCTGGAATGAGGAACTAAAAGAGAGTCAAAAGGAATTGAAACTCAACGAGAAGAAAAAGAATTTCCTTGGGCATCCCAGCATGCTTAAGTGAGGAGCAGGGGATGCCCTGACTTCAGGTTGGAGCTACACTGCTTGGTCCCACTTGGGAAGGAGCAGAGAGGAGAGCTGTGAACATCATGTGCAATGGCTTTACTCTTTACCATCTCTGAAGAGGGTAGACCTTTGCTTTTCTCTTGAAAGTTTTGATGTCATCTATTGTTATTAGACCAGGACTTTCATTAGAGGTCCATGTCAGTGTTAAAATGACTAGTATGCTGGTCAAAAGTTTGGTGGGATGCAAATGAACTAGTTCGCCTTAAATCAGCTATTGTCACTGAGCAAATAACAGAGTCTTCTGTTTAAAATACTCTGTTTCACTTGCCTATTGCGGCATGAAAAATGACCCCAAAACTCACTGGCTTAAAACAACCACCATTGTATTTGTTCACAATTATTTTGTGGGACAGAATTTTGGATTCAGAATAGCAGGGATGGCCTGTCTCTGCTCTGTGATGCCTGGGGGCAGTGGCATTGTCTTGAATGGCTGGAAACTGGCTGGAATGGCTTGACTCAGTCATATGCCTGGAGCCTCAGTTACAGCTGTTGCCTGGAGCTTCAGTTATGGCTGTTGCCTGGATTCCTCAGCTTTCCTTGGTGTGGGCTCTCCAAGAGGCTAGCTTAGACTTCCTCACAGTATGGTGTCTCAGGGTAATTGAACTTCTCACATGGTAGCTGGCTGCCTATAGGGCATTCCAAGAGAATAACTCCCAATGTGAAAGCATTTAGTAAGCCTCTGCTTGTGTCAAGCTTGTTGATGTTCCATTGGCCAAATCAAGTCTCATGACCAAGCCCAGCGTCAATGTGGGAGGCAGTAGAGAAAGGCCTGACTGCTGGAGGCATGGATGCATTGGGGCCACCAATATGTACAGCATACCCAGAAAATAAAACCATTATTTAAATGAGAAATTTAAATGCACATTTATAAATTTTTAAATTTACCATTATAAATAATGATATTATTTACTATCTGTTTTCTGTTGTGCAAGACCAAATAGGTATATGTGAAACTATGGTACAAATTGCTTCATGTCCATGAAGGGTATGCTTAGAAATATGTTATTTTATCCCAAAGAAATGGCACGCTATATTATTTCACACAAAGTAAACTATTCAAAATCTCTAAGCTAGGCCGAGTGTGGTGGCTCATGCCTGTAATCCCAGCACTTTGGGAAGCCAAGGTGGGTGGGTCACTTGAGCCCAGGAGTTCAAGACCAGCCTAGGCAACATGGCGAAACCCTGTCTCTACAAAAAATACAAAAATTAGCCAGGCATGATGGTGTGTGTCTGTAGTCATAGCTACTTGGGAGGGTGAGGTGGGAAGATGGCTTGAGCCTGCAAGGTTGAGGCTGCAGTGAGCTGAGATCATGCCCCTGCCCTCCAGCCTGGGTGACAGAATGAGGGAGGCCCTGTTTAAAAAAAAAAAAAAAAAAAAGGAAAAGGAGAAGAAGAAGTCTCTTCTTAGCACTAAATATCTAAATGTAGTCTGTGTTAAGTAACCCACTTACAGCTATCTGTAAAGAAAAATCTAATCTTTCGTACATACCTCTGGCTTACTTTTTTCTTATAATTATGGACATTTTTTCATATTGGTTCCAGCTTAGAGAGTGCATAAGTTATTTTGGCTTTTCAGTAGTTCATACATTTATAATTGTTATTTTTAATTTGCTATGAATTAAAAAATATGGTATGTTTTCTTCAATTCTGATGTTTTTATATGTTGAAGATGCTGGAATGGATAGGAATGAGACCTGAGTCCCAGGAGGGCTTGGATAACTTTTCTAGTCTTTTGATTCCTTATCTCTCACATAAGAAGTTTCAATCAGTTGATTTCTATGTTTACTTTTAATGCTGATATTTTTGATTTCAAATTACATGTAATGCCCTAATTAACTATTTAGAGAAATATAAAATGTGCATTTGGGAAATACTAAAATAATCTGATATTTCTTTAAGGAAAAAAATTGCTTCTTTATTCCTTAAATTAATTTTTTAGTCACTTGGCTTAGAGATGTTTTCTTGATGGGTCTCTTATTTGCATACATTACTATTTTACTTTGCTTTGACAAAAATCTAAGAGGTAAAAGAAATGAGGAGTCTAAAATAACACACAAATTTCCATAAGAGAAACTTACTACAGGAACCTAACACTTTGGAAAAATATTTGATTAAGTACCTGGAAGAATTTTGCTAGACTTAGGTGGAAGTATGCTTGCAGAATTTTGTAAAATACTTTTCTGATTTCCTTGTCTTTTTTTTCCAGACAGATCTTGCTGTGTTGCTCAGCTGAAGTATGGTGTTGTGATCAAAACTCACTGCAGCCTGGAACTCCTGGGCTCAAGACATCCTCCTGCCTTGGCTCCCGAGTAGCTGGGACCACAGGTGCAAGCCTCTGCACTGGTGAATTTTTAAACTTTTTATATAGACGAAGTCTCATTATGTTGCCTAGGCTAGTCTCAAACTCCTGGCCTCAAGTGAACCTCCTGCCTCAGCCTCCCAAAGTGCTGGGACCGCAGGTGCGTGCCACTGTGCCTGGCCACTAAAATACTTTTGTAAGTGAAGTATTTGTCTCAATTCTAAGTTTTAATTCAGCTGTATTTCCTGGAAGCAGTTCTCTACAATTCTGTAAAATGAAACTCTAATCACTAGTGCTTGGGGATTACGTCCTTTTTTTTTCATTAGTTGTCATTAATTCCTGTTGGGAGTATTGAAAAATTAGTAATATGGGAAACATACAAACAGATCAAAAAAGCACTCATCTGAAGGTACCAGTGTAAGTTCACAAACTTGGCTGTACATTATAATTATTTGGGACTCTTTAAAACAAATTGATGGCTGGGTCCCAACCTCCACAAGTACTTTTTTTTTTTTTTTTTTTTTTTTTTTAATACAGAGTCTGGCTCTGTTGCTCAGGCTAGAGTGCAGTGGCACAATCTTGCAGTCGCGGCTCACTGCAACCTCTGCCTCCTGGGTTTAAGTGAGTTTCATGCCTCAGCCTCCTGAGTAGCTGGGATTACAGATGCCCACCACCACACCGGGTAATTTTTGTATTTTTGGTGGAGATGGGGTTTCATATTGGCCAGGCTGGTCTCATGCTCCTGATCTCAAGTGATCCGCCCACTTCAGCCTCCCAAAGTGTTGGGATTACAGGCGTGAGCCATCATGCCCGGCCAAAAGTCTTGATTTAATTATTCTAGAGTGTGGCCTGGCATTAGAATTTTCTCACCCCCTCCAGGTGATCCTGATGTGAGCCAAGTTTGAGAACCCCTGCACTAAAGAAACGTCCTCGGGTCTCCTTCTGTTCCCCACCTTTTGCTGCCAGAATTCGAGTCCTTACTCCTTGCTAGACTTTATGACCTCTTCCCTCCACATACTGTTGCTACATTCCTTTAATAATGAATTTTTATGTTTAGTTCCCGATTTACACATCATCAGCAGGGTAGGTGTGTAAAAATAATAGTGAAGACATGAGTCTATAAAGGTGTGCATTTGATTGGATTAACAGTATTAGATGGATCTATCTATCCACTCCACCATTTTATGACACTGTGGGCAAATATGTTAACATAAATCCTAAATTCCAAAGTGATACATTATACTTCTCCGGATTAGCCATCGGTTTGTTTAGTTGGATTTTGGGTTATAGAATGATAATTGCTATTTATTCAAAGTGTTTCTGGAATGAAAACAATAGAACTTATTGCCACCTCCTTTATGTGGGTTGGGTGTATGTTGGTCAAATTCAAATACAAACAAAATCTTCTTTGGTTGGTAATTCACCTGAATGCATAGGCATTAATTGGTTTGTAATGGGCATTTTGAAACATTTTTACGCTGATTTAAGTGTGGGGGAAGATTATTCTGTGTTACCTAGAGCCCAAAATCATGCAATTGTCTCTTTATTCAGGCAAATGGTTTCATTTCTCTCTTCTTTCCTCTCCTTAGTGAAACAGAGGCAATTTATTGATAGGGTGATCAGCCACCCCAGTTTGCCTGGGACTAATGAGTTTCTGGGCACACTGGGATGAATTGGTCACCTTAATTGATACAGCGAAAATTAATAAGACTTTAAAGATATTTTAGGTCCTTGCATGAAAAATTATTCATATGTTATGATTTACATTACCAAATCATATATAAACTATGATTGTAAATGGAAGGTTTGTGATTGTTTTCTGGATTTGGTATTACAACTTTCTTTTCAGCTTGTCATATTATTTTTAGATATTCCTCAAAATATTTTTCTAGCAGTATTAAAAAATTCACCTTGAGAAAAATAGCATATTTTATGCACATTTTCTAGATTTCAGGAAACAGATAATGTCCAAAACAGCAGAATTAGTTGGTGCTAAAATAGAGAAAAAAAATCATTTTTAGATCTGCTTGGAGACTATAATAACTAGTAACATAAAGAAGTTCTCTTAGTAAAATGAAATAGAAAAAGAGAACCTAATAAAGTCTAATATGAATCCATTCTTGACCCAAATAACAACAAAAGTCACCATATACGGCCAGGTGTGGTGGCTGACGCCTGTAATCCCAGCACTTTGGGAGGCCCAGGTGGGTGGATCACCTGAAGTCAGGAGTGCGAGACCAGCCTGACCAACATGGTGAAACCCGGTCTCTACTAAAAAATACAAAAATTAGATGCGCACAGTGGTGGGCGCCTGTAATCCCACCTACTTGGGAGGCTGAGGCAGTAGAATTGCTTCAGCCCGAAAGGCGGAGGTTGCAGTGAACTGAGATGGCACCATTGCACTCCAGCTTGGGTGATAGAGCAAGACTCCGTCTCAAAAAAAAAAGTCACCACATACAAATGCTGCACAAAGAAAACTTAGTGAAGATGTTTGTGTACTGGTTATTTTTGAGTCTCTTTGAAATAGTAAAGATAAATTATTAATTTTACATCAGAGAGTTAATGTATTTAGTTAAACCAATAGTACACTTTTGCTAGGGTGTGGTTATTCTGTTTTTATTTTTTTTCTTTTTTCTTTTTCTTTTCTTTTTTTTTTTTTTTGGCATTAAAGATCAGAAACACCAATTGTTGCCTTAAAGGGAAGATGAATCCAATTTTAACAGATGCTCAGTTCAGGAAATATCAAAAGCTACCCTTTACAAAGGAGTATTAAACATAGAGACAAAAAAATATGCAGGGCATTGCCAATGTATCAGATGACAATGGGACTAAATCACACCCATTTTTGGTTTAACAGCTGTTAAATGAGTCAAGAGACCTGGATCTAGATCCAGCTGCACCGATCCAGTGAGTGTCTGGGTAAATGCCTTCACTGCTCTGGGCCTCTGTTGATTTGTCTGTAAAATGGGAGATTTTGACTATCCTGTGTCTACAGTCTCTTAAATTGTTAATATCCTATAATTCCATGTGCAGTATTCTGACGATGTCTTAGTGGATATGTGGATTTCCCCCTTCCTTTTCTCCAGCAGTGCTCCTCTGCAGCAACCTCAGAACAGTGGCCCACACTCCTAGAATTTGAGAAAATGGCATCTTCTTCAGAGGACAGAGGTTCGTAGTCTCAGTGGTTTATTCACCTGCTACAGCTCAGCATGTGATGTGGTTTTGCTGTGTCCCCACCCAATTGTCATCTTGAATTGCAGCTCCCATAATTCCTATGTGTTGTGGGAGGGACCTGGTGGGAGGTAATTGAATCATGAGGGTCTTTCCCGTGTGCTGGTCTCCTGATAGTGAATAAGTCTCACAAGATCTGATGTTTTTTTTTTTTTTTTTTTTTTTTTGAGACAGAGTCTCACTCTTGTCACCCAGGCTGGAGTGCAGTGGTGCGATCTTGGCTCACTGCAACCTAAGCCTCCTGGGTTCAAGCAATTCTCCTGTCTCAGCCTCCCAGGTAGCTGGCATTACAAGCACCCACCACCATGCCCAGCTAATTTTTCGATTTTAGTAGAGACGGGGTTTCACCATATTGGCCAGGCTGGTCTCGAACTCCTGACCTCAGGTGATCCACCCACCTCGGCCTCCCAAAGTGCTGGGATTACAGGCGTGAGCCACTGTGCCTGGCCGAGATCTGATGGTTTTATAAAGAGGAGTTCCCCTGCACAAGCACTCTTGCCTGCTGCCATGTAAGACGTGTCTTGCTTCCCCTTTGCCCTCCATCATGATTGTGAGGCCTCCCCAGCCATGTCCACATGTGAGTCAATTAAACCTCATTCCTTTATAAATTACCCAGTCTCGGGTATGTCTTTATACCCGAGCATGAGAACAGACTAATATGGCATGATACTCTGGATCCTAGTATTTGCAATTTGAATTTTGGATGAGTTACTTCCCCTTTTAGAGCCATAGTATCTGTCTGTAATGAGAATTTTTTTCCCTTAATCTCCTTTTCTAGCTTAGAGTAGCCTAAAAGAGAGTTACTCTTTTAGGCCTTTCAGCTTTTTTCCTTTTTAAAAGTGAGATAGCATACTTTTTGGTCATCTCACACTCCCAGTGAGGCTTTCTGGGCCTCCCTTTCTCTGTTTCCTCCCTTCCCTTCCTACTGGCAGAAGTGTGGATTGTGGAGAGCCTCATGACCCATGACTCATGCCTAGGTTGCCTGGCTACAGGGTGACAATTCTGCCCAGTGTCTGGCTGCCGTGAACATGTCTGATGTCTGGAGATTTCTCTGGATCTTCCATGGACGATGTTCTGAGAACCCCTTGTTAGGATGAAACCCTGAGGTGCTGTCTTGCCTTATGATATTAAAAAAAGACACGATGCAGCTAGTGCGGAGTTTTATTGGCTACAAAATAGATGCAAAATGATGAGAATCTGAAGGCTGCAGTAGGAAAGTAGAGCTTTACCCTCATAAACTCGCACTTTGATTAGAAAAGTGCAATATATTAAGAGCATTATGAGAAGTCTGGTGAGACTGTTACAGAAAAAAAAAATAAAAGTTTCTGAGTCTGATAATTCCAAGGGTATCTTTTAGAACTCACTCACTGGTGTCTGTGCAAGGACTTTCCTTGGGGGAAAATAGATTTTACAACAGGCGGAAACTTTCATTGGTCTCATGCGTGCTTTTGGATTTCATTCACTTGACAAAGAACTAATCTTCCGTTGATGGTCTCCTGGGTTATGGCCTTGATCTTTGGAGTTGCAGACACTGAGAAAAAGAGCATGGAAGATGTCACTGCCATGCTTCTTCCACCATCTGAACTGTACTCATTTTCATTTCTCTGCTGTCAGCCCCTGAAGGCTCTCAGTGCCTTCCAAATGATCACTAAGCAATGAGGTGGGCTCTGCTGCTGGGAAAAGGGATTTCCCAAAGGAGGGATTTTCTCCCACTCTCCAGGAAATGAGGATCTCTGAACAGTGTCACCTTCTGGAGGTGAAGACCTTCATCATAGGTGTGCCTCATATGGAACCTAGTCTCTGACCACAAGCACTTGAGGAGTTCTTTCTCTGCCTGTGGGCTTTGTAGCACTGCACAGATTCCTTGAGCTTACAGAGCACTTAGTGCTATTCAGGGTACCTCATTTTAAAGTCTAGAAAGCATGCCACATGAGGAATGGGTGAGAAGCCAAGGATGCTTACCATGGCTGTTTTCAAATATATAACTTATTTGAATAAGTGCCTGTTGAAACATCAATAAAGCAATTCTAGACCATAGGGAAGAATTGAAATCATTAATAAATTTACAAGGGAGAATTTTGTTAAATTAAAACCTCTCCATTGGGACCATCCCATCAAGTATGGGTTCCCCATCCTAAGACATGTGTGAAGAGAGTCTCAAAGACCCTTGTCTTATTTTGTAGATGGGTAGCAGTGAGACCAGCTGTCCTGTGATGATTACTCCAACTGATTCTTTGAATCTCCAATGCCTTAGAATAGGTTTATCACAAACTAATCAGAAAGTGCCACTTGTCCCAGACTACAGTCTCCTGCAACTTTTCTGTGAGATATTAAAGGTAATCTGAGAAAGCATGTTTCCAGGTCAAAGATGTTTGGGAATACTGGGCTAAACAAAGTTAAACTTTTGTTGTTTCTACCTCTTTCTTGTTCCTTTTCTCCTTCAAAGCAGTACCTGTTCCATCTTTAATACACTGAACTGCAACAGGACTGTCCAAGAAGAGGATCATGGCACACAGTATTTCTAACCTTATCTGGCCATAGAACACAGTGTTCGTAATACACTATTCAAATCTCATGGAACACGAGTGTTCAACAGAATCATCTGAGAAATGAAATCATGAAATCATTGCCTCTTAGTTTTCTAGGGGTTTAGTAAACTGACTCCATTACTTAATAGAGACATAATACTATTAATTATCATTTTAATTTTCTTTACTGCTTGCTTTTACCTATATTGAGGACAATAATGAGAGCTTACATCATTTTGTATTAGCTAATTTGTTCATTGAAGATTCCTGACCCAGGACATTTTGAACCCAGGACATTTGGGAGTACATTAAGGATTATGACTACTACAAAATGGATAACCATGCTAATTCCTTAAAAACAGAGATTCAAACAATGAAGGAAATTTTTTACCTTTCATGCTCGACTTTGATTCTTCCCGTGTCCTATAAAAGTGATAAAGGTTAAAGCTCACTTTAGTATTAGCAACAATCATAACAACTTCTCAGGATGAACTAACTTCCTTCGCTTGCTTGTAAATCCTCTGCTCTTTAATGAGGATAATTGTCTGAGCTTAGTAGTCTCAAGGTCATGGGTTCACGGGAGAACCCGTCTGGATACAGAAGGCATTGGGTACCGCCTCCTGCTAACCCTGGAGTCAGGGGAAGTCCACCAACCATCCCCTCCTTTCAGCTGCAAGCTTGGTTTTCTCTAGGATCCCTGCCAGGGTCTGGGTCTCAAGCCTGAGACCCCTGAGCTTCTCAGGCTGTTCAAAGTTTGGTCTAGTGATGTTTTATTTATGTATTTTTATAAAACTTCTATCCCTTCCTTTCGGATCATAGAATATATATGCCCTTTATATGGCCAGCTGTTGTTATTTCCTGGGGTGGCCAGAAATATCAGATTGAAAGTCTAGACATCTCTAGCTCATATGCATCTTTTTTTTTTTTTCTCTTTTGCTGGTGGACTAACACATTCCCCCTGCCTTCTTTTTTTTGGAGCCAAAATTGTGTGCATTCCTACTGGGAAACACAGTGGCCAAATCCTTTTGAATTGTTTCCTTCTAGAGACTTTAACTCTTCTGACTGCAAATCTTAGTGTCCTGTGAGTATTAGTTGATTAATTATACTTGCTGCTTAGTGAAATACAGCCAGCTATAGGTATCTTCTGGAGTAGCTCAACACAACTTTTCTCTTGCTAGAGTGACTCTTGCTAACAGAACCCAAAGATGCACACATATACCCACAGGAGCTGGAGGTCCCTCGCATGCTCCTCTCGTGCCAGCCTTTGCCTTACCCTTCACTCTCTCCCTCCAGGAGCCGTCGGTACGTGGTGATTTCCTTCTCCAGGTGGGTTTTGATGCCCAGCAGCACTTGGTATTCATTGTTCTGCCGCTCCAGTTCATGGCGTAGCTGCGTCAGTTCCTCCTCATAGTGGGAGATGATCTCTTGCATGTCCTGGAGCTTGCAGGAGTACCGAGACTGGGTCTCGGATAACATGTTTTCCAAAGCAGATTTCTGAAAGAGGAAATGATCTTCTGTTAATTAACTGATGGCTTGATTGAGTCAATAACAGGTGATTGTTGAGTACTTAGCAGATGTCGACCAGTTGGCTAGGTGTCTTGGTAGCTGCTGAGGACACCAAGATGAGAAGTAGGCTGACTTACAGGTTTGGGACTTGGGCAGTCAGGAGTTGAGCAGTGTTAGGACTTTTGAAGTCCATTGCCTTGCTCTGAACTGTTGTTTAACTCCTTTCATTTTATCTTTGACCTGATTGAAAACTCCCAAAGAGCGACAGCAACTGGGACTGCTATCTCTTTGTATCTTCGGAGAAGGGTCTCAATTAGGGATGCCAGATAAAATAGAGAACATCTAGTTAAATTTGAATTTCAGATGAGTAATGAGTAATTTTTTAGTGTAACTATGTCCAAAATATTGCTCCAGTATTGCATGGGACATGCAAAAAAAATTGCTTTTTATTTGAAATTCCAACTAAACTGAGTATTCTATATTTTAATTTGGTAAATCTGGCAACCCTAGTCTCAAGCAATGCTTTTTGATTATGACGATGGTAAAAAAAAAAAATGTCATTTTTTGAGGAAATTCTAACAGCTGCCAAATGAAGTTTCTGGGCTAGAATATGGAGGATTGAGTTCAAGTCCCAGTTCTGTTTGCATGTAACACCTGCTTTTCTGAAGCGCATAATTTTAACCTTAAAGAGAATCTCCTAACTGTGCTGGATACTCTCCCTTTATCGTGGCTGCTAATTTTCAGGGGGCCGTTCATGCTGCCTGGCGGTTAAAGCACATTTCCCTGGTCAGCCAGTCTCCTACTCTCCCAGGAGGTTATTTTGTTCCCTCTCCTCTGTCCTTGCCATCCTTCCTCGGAGTCCATGGCCTCGCTTCCTAATTTTGTTGATGAAATGAAAGCAATCGGGAGAGACCGCCCACTGCTCCCTACATTGCTCCCAGGCACATACTTGAATCTGCATCTGGGTGCTGGCTTCCCTCTGTTCTTTTGTGTGAGCTGTCTGTGCTCCAGTCATCTCGGCAGTTGCCCGCCTTCTTGCGTTATCAATATTCTCTCTGGATTATTCCCACCAGCTTTCAAATAGAATAATTTTTCCTACCTTAAAATATATCTTTCTTAAACCCATATCTACCTTCAGCTATCATCCAATTTCTCTGCTCTCCTTCAGCTACAGCAAAGCTCCTCAAAGAGTTGTCTATGCCTGCTGTTCCTCTTGAGACCCCTCCAAGGTAGCCTACAAAGCCCTACACTGTCTGGTTCTGTTGGGACTCCGCGGCCTCACCCTGTCTTCCTCCCTCTTCCCCTCCCTTCCCCTCCTCTTCTCTCCTTTCTTCTTCCCTTCATTCACTCACTGTAGCCACATGGACTTCCCTGCTGCTCCTCCAACTCATCAGACACACTTGTGCCTTGTCGCTTTTGCACTTGCTGTTCCCTCCTCTTGGAACACATCCCATCACCACATCAAGCACCTCCTTACCTCTTTGCTCACTGCCACTCTAACAGGAAAACCTTTCCTGACCACCTTGTTTAAGATAGCAGCTCTTCACCCTGGTGCATCTGCCCTCCTCCTCTGCTTCATCTCTGTAGCAATTTTCTCCATCTAACATATATTTTGATGATTTGCACATTTATTATCTGTCACTCCTACTAGAATATAAACTCCTTCATTAAAAAATCCTCAGTGCTAAGGATTGGTGTCAGATAGTAGAATGCATGAAAATGGGTATACATGCCTCGCCTGTTTCACAGGGCCATTGTGAAATACTGTATGTTAAAACGTTTTGAAAGTTGCACTATAATTATTTTTGTACTCATGATCTCTACGTGCACATTTGCAGTGTCTGTTCACCATCACGGATGCATAAAACACAGCAGTCATTTACCCAAGTGCACCTGCAACATAAATGAACAAATCATTGCCTCTCAAGACTGAGGGTAGAATCGCACTTGGCAATTATATGGATGAATGATTAGAAGACTCAATAGGGTATACTGGGAATCAAATGATAGACCTTCATAAATTTTGAATGCTTATGACCATGCTAAGCATTTTTCTAAACTGTGAAGATGATAGAAATGACTTGGACACAAGAACTTAGAGTTTTCTGGGTGATAAGACATATACATAAATGAATAGGGCAGTGCTTTGGAGTTAGCCAGGCCTGGATCTGCCACCTACCATGTTGGCACTGGAATTTCTCTACATTGGGGTTTGAGGGGGGTAGCCTGGTTGTAAGTGGAGAGGGCACTGATAGAAATTATGGGGGTCTAGAATCCCCCTTCCTCCAAATAAATCATATGGTTTCATCACCAGTTACTTACTAGCTGTGTGACCTTGGCCAATTTATTTTACTGTTGGAGTTTTGGTTTCCTCATCTCTAAAATGGGGACACTAAGACCTATCTGGGAAGGTTACTGTAAGGATTAATGACATTTAATATCATGAACTACTTAGCACAATGCCTGGCACCATCGGGACACTCAATACATGGTAGCCCTTTATTATGGTTCTCATCATAAACAATTTGGATGGAAAGTGGAAAGTGAGAGTTGTCCCAAGGGAGTTGAGGGTCAGGGCCTGGGAGAGAGGTCTCAGAAGGCTTCGTGAAGGAGGTGGTGTGGGATTCACGGTTTTCCTAGCCTTGACTCACCGTGCTGTACTGTGTCTGCAGGTCAATCTCCAGGGCCTGGAATGTGCGCTTCAGTTCGTGGATGTCACCTTGTCTGCTCTGCACAGTGGCTGGACTGGCTGCCTCCTGGGACATGGCTGCAGACTGTGGGACCAAGCAAGGCAAAGGCGTCAGCATTGGGACCTCATGGAAATGCAACCTTTGGGAAGTTTGTGCATCTTTCTTTTACCTGTTCTTTATACCAAGTGTCCAAGTCTCGATGCTTCTTCTTTATTATAAGCTCATATTCTTGTCTCATATCCTCCAGGACCTTAATCAGATCTTCCCTGGGACCTGTATCCACCTTCACATTGACATTGAAGTCACTTGGCACATGATGCTTCTCCATTTCCTATTTAATAACAGAGAAAGGAAATGAACCGGCTTTGACAATCAGAAGGCTGGATTGCCATGTTGATTGGCAGTGGTAAATAGATCTTTTAAACATTCCGATTATGTGGTTGCTCCCACTGTCACTGGTTTGGTTTCTCAAATATTACTTACTTGTTGGTGATAAAACATTGTATACTTTTTTCTCTAATAATTTTATAAAATAAAGAATATCTTTGAGACCAACCTGACCAGCATGGAGAAACCCTGTCTCTACTAAAAATACAAAAAATTAACTGGGTGTGGTTGTACACACCTTTAATCCCAGCTACTTGGGAGGCTGAGGCAGGAGAATCGCTTGAACCTGCGAGGTGGAGGCTGCAGTGAGCCGAGATTGCGCCACTGCACTCCAGCCTGGGTGACAGAGTGAGACCCTGTCTCCAAAAAAAAAAAAAAAAAAAAAAAGAATATCATAAGGCAGGTAATCAAATAGCCTCCATGATTACTGACTTGATCCGTGGTTGAAAATATTTCAGAAAGAATTATGCTTCCATAGTGTGCAAAGTCCTGTTCAGCAGATGTGGATTGGTGAAGTGACAACATAGTTAAGCAGCTGAACCTTACAGGCTATAGGCCAAAGCTTTTGGGAAGCAGTTCAAGAGGCAAACAGCAGAAAGAAGGTGTAGAGGCTTTCAAAATCTCATCAATGCCTTGTGACACTGTAGGGCTGACGCCCATAGGATTTCATGAAAACCAAGCAGCCACAGGAAAGGTTTAATTAACAATCATTGTCTAACCAGCTATTCAGAAACTGAGCTCTTTGATGTTGAGAAGCAATTTTGTTTTCCTAAAATGGGAACTGTTTTTCTATCATTTTATCAGAGTCTTGAGGACTTGTGATGGATGGTAACTCTAAAAGTCAGTTAAATGCTTCTGGAAATTAGGATTCTTTATTTTTGCCCCACATCACACTTATCTTGGTTGGTAGCAGACTCTCTTCATTATATTGTCCCCTAACTTGCTGAACATTGGGCCAGTGATGGAAGTCCAGTCTCACGCATTGATTCTTATAGTAACATTAACAAGCACATCTAGGTAAACATTGTGTATTAACAAAACTGTTGACCAATTCATCATTAATTATGATTGCATTTTGGTTGTTGTATTTGACATGTGACTAGCTAACCTTGAAATTAGAAACATTAGATATTTGTATGTTTTTCTAAAGACTATTTAGGGTGAAGGACAAGGGGATTGGCATCCAGGTGGTGGTTTCTTCTGTAGCTGTCGAATCAGCCTGAGATGTGCAGGCTAAGAGCTGTGCTTATTAGCAGGTGTTCCTGGGGAGTTGTACCTGCTCATGGTGCTTCTTCATGAGAATGAGCTCTTTCCTCATTCCTTCCACCTCCTGTTCTAGGTCTGTTGTGACAATGGTCAGGTTGTCT
This sequence comes from Homo sapiens, assembly GCF_000001405.40. Classification (NCBI taxonomy): domain Eukaryota; kingdom Metazoa; phylum Chordata; class Mammalia; order Primates; family Hominidae; genus Homo; species Homo sapiens. The sequence continues at coordinate 79,299 of NW_003871091.1, forward strand.
AAGGTCCTTCGGAGGCCCTCGACTTCAATTTCCAAGTCTTTCTTAAAGGAGTGTTCATTTTCATACCTTTGGTGAGAAGGAAGAGAAGAGTGCACTCATTGTTGGAAGGCCATGGTTTTTGAAAGGATTCATTTTCATTTAGAGGTGAATCTTTTACTTTTTAGGTTTAAAGAGAGCAAATGAATACATATAGGATGTCTTTTTTATGCCAGTTTCATGCTACACTTCTCCATGATGGTGACTCAATGTCAACTTTTAAATTGAGTAGGGAGAATAGGATAATAAACAGTCATATACCCATTATCTATATTTAGCAACCATGAATGTTTTGCCATATTTGCTTCATCTATTTCATTGCTGAAGTATTTTAAAGCAGATTATAGATGTGATGACATTTTAAGACTAAATACTTCAGGATGCATCTTTTAAGAAAAATATATTTTAAAATAAACAGGCCGGGCACGGTGGCTCACACCTGTAATCCCAGTACTTTGGGAGGCTGAGGCGGGCGGATCACGAGGCCAAGAGATTGAGACCATCCTGGCCAACATGGTGAAACCCTGTTGCTACTAAAAATGCAAAAATTAGCTGGGCATGGTGGTGTGCACCTATAGTCCCAGCTACTTGGGAGGCTGAGGCAGGAGAATCGCTTGAACCTGGAAGGCAGAGGTTGCAGTGAGCCGAGATCACGCCACTACACTACAGCCTGGCAACAGAGCAAGACTCCGTCTCAAAAATAAACAAATAAATAAATAAATAAATAAATAAATAAAATAAACATAACACTACACCTAAACATTAATAACAACCCTTTAATATCATCTAATTCTTGATTCATATTCAAACTTCCCCATACTATAATGTGCTTTATATCTGATTTGTTTAAACTAAGGTTCATTCAAGTAACACACAGTGCATTTGCCGTTGCTATGCCTTTTCATTATAAGATTTTAGATGCGGGTAATGGCAAGATGAGTTTTCCTTTTTTTTTTTTTTTTTGAGATGGAGTCTCACTCTGTTGCCAGGCTGGAGTGTTAGTGGCGTGATCTTGGCTCACTGCAACCTCCACCTCCTGGGTTCAAGTGATTCTCCTGCCTCAGCCTCCCGAGTAGCTGGGACTACAGGCGTGTGCCACCATGCCCAGCTAATTTTTGTATTTTTAGTAGAGATGGGGTTTCACCATGTTGGCCAGGATGGTCTCGATCTCTTGACCTCGTGATCCGCCCGCCTTGGCCTCCCAAAGTGCTGGGATTACAGGTGTGAGCCACCGCGCCCCGCCGAGTTTTCCTTTTGTAAAGCAAACAAACAAAAACCCGAACAACCCTGTGAAGAAGGAACTTACTTGAGGTTGAAGTCATCCACTGCCATCCTGGCATTGTCAATGAGAAGAATAATCTGAGCATTGGTCATCTTACCATCCACTATCTGTAAAACATGCACAAAAGCACAAAAGGTTATCTCACTTGGACACACCCACACATGACCGCTGCATGTCTGTCCTCTAGCTTCCTGAATATTTGACTTGTTAGTACAGACAACTTCTTGTTCTGGCAGTGGAACAATGAATAACCGAATCAGTAAATGCTTAGTGAGCACATACTAGGTGCAAAGCAGAATGATTTTAAAATAAGAATATGATCTGCAGTCAGTGTTACTGCCTTTTTTCTTTTTATGTTGAGTTTTGACAGGCTTGGATTGATGCAACTGCTGAAAGAATGATATAGGAAGGGGAAGGACAGTAATTGTTCAAAATGCCCTCTAACTTTTTAGGTTATGGACATGTCATAGCATTTTGCTTAATTAAGCTCATCCACAGCTGAAGATGTTAAAAGGACTTTAGGTTCTGATCCTTTTCTTATTGTATTAGGTTGGTGAAAAAGTGATTTTTGCCATTACTTTTAATTAGTTCAGCCCTCCAAAAATACAAAAATTATTATTTCAGGTGAACATAATTCTTACTTGTGATAGCAATCATGTTTCTAATCAGTGTTACTGAGCAACGCTAACACTAATATTCAATGTATTTTGTAATAGTCATCACAGAACACATTTTTTTTTTGCCCGAAGTGACTGTAACTTGAAGGTGTGTTTATGTCATTGCAACTTATTCTGTGATGAGAATGTGCTCATTGTAGCTATTAAAATATTAACTGAAATAATTCCTTACCATCTAAGGAAAATGCTTAAGAAGCTTCAGTAGTGGTAAAGCCTCCAGTTAAAGACTTTCACTAGATGTTCGTATAATTTTTTTTTTACTTTGAAAAGAAAAATAGTATTGAAAGCACTTACTCGAGCAAGTGTGTATACATTTATGATTTGTAAACACTTGTAGGTATGTTATAGTCAGAGAAATAGCACACATTTGATGTATGTCACTGTCTTTAGGGTAGAAGATGTCTCGTTGTCAAAAGTGTAATAATGCTTTTACGCCAAGTGTTGTGCTGGACTAGAAACTTAGAGCTTTTCTTTGGTTCTGGCTCTGTTCTTGACCATCCATGTGGATGCATCAGGCTGCATCACTCTACTCTCCAGGCCTCAGTTTCATCCATTGTCAAATAAGGAGTCTGTACTAGAGACAGAGGACCTTAGAGGTCTTAGCTCTAAGTTTCTGTAATTTAGTTGGAGTCAGAGAATCCTGGGTAATTCCCATTATATTTACATAGCTCATTCCTTTATTTAGAAAGCATTTTCTTAGGACAAAGCTATACTTCAGTACAAAGGCACCTTTTAAAAGTCTGGTCCTATTTAAAGCTCCACTGATCCCATGGAATTTGGTATCATGAATGCACAATAGCAGGATTTAGAGATGGCATGAATGCTGGGTCTGGAACTCAAAGAGCAGGGCCTGGGATCCTGCTCCGCGCTTACTGGCTGGGTGAGATTGGCTGAGTGAGCTTGGCTGAGTCTCAGTTTATTCATCCATAAAATAGCAATAACAATAGTTACTTCATCAAAGAGTTATGAGAATTAGAAGAGAGTATGTCAAATAATGTCAAATAGCATATTATCGGCATATTATAGACAGTGAAAAATTGGTCGAAACTGAATTTGTTCAGAAAAAAGTAAATAATACACCTTTCTTTTTAAAAATCTAGCACTTTTATAGATTCAGTGACTACACTGTGAACATCCCCAGGTTCTATATGCTGAGATGCCTGCTCAGACTTTTGCTGTTCATGGTGGGACATAGCCAGGCTGGCTGCTCCTGCCTCATTCTTTTTCCTCTTGTGGGATTCCAAATGGTACTATGGCCCCTTCCCTTGCTATAAAGAAGGACACTTTTAGATATTTCCTTGTCTCCTCTCCACAGTGCTGCTTAGGGGCATTCTTACCAATACTTCTCCCTCCAGACCCCTTATTCTTTGCATTATGTAAGCTCCTGCAAAATGAAAAGTAGCTCTATCCCAAAGAGCCTGGGGGCCATTGTGGGGTAACCCTTACTTACTTGTGCACTGAGGTTTTCTATTTGACACACACTATGAGGTGTTAATCTACATCCAGAGAATCAGAAAATCAAAAATACTGTCTATGGGCTTATTTAGCTTTTCTGGGTTAAATTGGTAATTTATCCATTGCAAAGTCCACCTCAAGTGTCTGATTCCCCCAGCTATCATTCTCATAGCACACAAATGTGAATTCTGAAATGTGCTTGATATAGAGCACGTTTAAAACTATTTCCCATTATTCAGGCTTACTTAGTACAGAATTATGATATAACCATCATTTCTGACACAATCTTCATGGTAATAAGTGGATGAAGATGGGTTGAGAAACGATATATGAGGCATAGGTTTTTTACTGAGTGTTGTAATTAATCACCCAGATTCTCCTGAAGGCCCTCAGTTCATTCTTTTAAAAGCAAGTTGGCATATTCTTGCAGCATTGTTGCTTCAGGATGTTTGATCTACTAGGGAGAGGAAAACAGAATGTTTGACTGTAAACAAAAATGCCAAATATAGTCCGATTGAGAATCATTCAAGGTGTTTTATTTATGATACTCCTATGACTGTGTCCAATTCTGGATTTCAAAAGGATTGAATTAATTTTTAAGCTCAACTTGTTATCAACCTTTTGAGTGATATTTAATATACCTAAAGTGAGGGTACGGGAGAACTGTATCCACTCAGAGCATTTCACCAAGGTCCAGGAAGGATAAGCCCCAGGTAATTGTGGGACCTCCTTGCACCTCTGTTTTCTCATCTTCAAATGAGGGAGGTTGGGGTAGATAGACAACCTCAACTTTAAAGAGTTTCTTTCTTCAAGTGTAGAGAAAACACAATGTTAGAGGTAAAAATCCAGAAAAGAGTGAAATTCAAAGCCAAAGAAGTTTCCTATTCAATCTCAGAACCCAGAATTCCAGGTCATCTGAAGGGTGGGCAGGTTGCTCCCCACACCCCCCATTGCACCTACTCACTTTTCTCAATTCTGTTCCAAAGGATTTAGACAATGATTAGGTCTCAGTCTCCTTATCTGTAAGTTGAGAATACAAATACCTGCTCCACACAGTTGTGAGGATTAAATGAGACAATGTGTATGAAGTATGTGATGTGTGGTTAATGATGCAAGTATAATGCATTATCTTTATTCATACTAAGTGTCATTTTTATATGAGGTGGGCTAGGCAGCACTACACTGTAGTGAAATTTATGAGGCTACTGGAAACAGACCTGAGTTAGAATCCCACCTCTGCTTCTTGCTGATGGCTTTGGATGGCTATTTCACTTTTTTCCAAGCTTCCATTTCCTTACAGGGTTCTTGCAGAATCAAATAAAATAATATGGAACATTTCCATCATTGCAGAAAACTCTTGGATAGTGTTGACATGTGTATTAAATATCCAGCAGGATGCCTAGGTACATAATAAGTGCTCAGTAAACATTTCCCTCTCTTTCCTCCCTTTCTTTTTTTTAAATCTCTTCCGCGAGCTCATAAATTATTTGACTGGTTCTAACCTTGTATTTCTTTTGGGAGTCATGGTCTCCCTTTGCTCTCCATTTGCAAAAATCTTCAATTCCTCCTTTCTACAACCAAAGCAACTTTATTAAACAAAAAAACATGATGAGGACTGTTGAGTCACCTTGTTTTTTTTTTTTTTTCATAAAGACAACCATGCACTATATAGTTAAGGTAATTACAGTCAGTTATTAGGTTGATTATTCAATAATTAGGGTTCATTACAAGGACAGATTTATATTATCTTGACTGGTCCTTCCTACATTCAAGCAAGGATGACTGAGCATTGTGAAATAATATATATAAATATTGGAAACTTGTGATACCCTTTCTAGGGGAGGTTAAATCATGGTCTTACAGGGAATTTTCTGGGACTGCTTTATATAAGAGGGGAGTTAGATAGCTTTAAAACATAACCTATGAGATGATTGGATTCCTTCTACTTCTAGCTAATGTTATGAGACATCCCAGAAGGTATTTGCTTAGCTTTTTTGAGGTTTGGTTAAAGAGTTCGGTTTTTTTTGAACAAGGTCTTTATAGCCATCTCAACTCTCAGATTCTAAAAATTATGCTCATTTTATTATTATTGGTTCTAGCAATATGCCATTGTCAGAACTGTGAGCAACTTTACTGCAAGCAACCCACAAACGGAAATATCTAGGGATGTCATGATGACCTATATGCTGGTGTGGTGACAACTTTTAGGCATAATCTTCAAAATAGTGTAACAGCCTTTTGTCGATGGATAACCACATTGTTCAAAAAAGTTTGAGGTGGAGCAGAACTGAGGTAATGAGAAAGTAAACACTCTCTTATGCCTGGTGCACTGAGCATGCAGCATGAACACCAGCCCTTATCATTTCTATGACATCGTTGGGTCATAAGTGACATTAAACAGCAGCTGGTTGCCTCACATTTTAAAGATGTTTTTGGTCTGTGAGAAATCAGTAGTCTCATTTTTGAAACAGTCTGTAGCACTTCTATCATTTTTGCTGCCTTCTTTTTCTACATTATCCATGGACAGTAGACTAATTAAACAAAACAGACGTTTCCCACTCCAAATTTAAGATATAATAAGAAAACATCCCCCAAAACCTTTGTGCACAATTACTTCAAGCGCTGATGCCATTTTCCTGGAAATTGTCTTCTGGACTCATTTTTCCTCCCGAGGGTCCCCTGGCAAAGCAGCCCCATCTGGATCTCCAGGGTCACCCAGCATCTTACCTGCTCCTGCAGGTGTGTGATGTTTTCCTCATACTGGGAATAATCTTTCTTACTGCCAGGATCTCTCTGCTGGTGCCATTTCAGGATGCGGCTTTCCAGCTTCATGTTGGCCTCCTCCAGGGCGCGAACCTTCTCCAGGTAGGAGGCCAGGCGGTCGTTGAGATTCTGCATGGTGGCCTTCCCATTTCCGCCTAGTAGGGGGCTGCTTCTTCCAGAACCCCAAGACCCTCCAGGGGGTGGGCAGCTCCGCGTGGTGAAGGACAGGGAGATGCGGGCTCCCCCCGCACCGCCATGGACGGTGGGAGCCCTGGGGAAGCTCCTGGGCCGGCCCCAGCCACCTCCGGCGCCATGGAAGGAGGCCGAGGGGGTCTGGCTGAAGCTGTGTCCGGAGTTCATGGTCCCATCTGTGTTTGGGACGGGGCTGAGCTCTGCTCCACTCCCTGGCACCGCAGAACTGAGCCGCCCCAGACTGCCCTGGATGGTTTTATGGCCTTTGCTGTGGGAGTTCCCTTCTCTGACAATTGTACCAACAAGATTGTATCATTGTGCAACTTGTGTTTCCTCTTGGTCAATCCCAAAGTGCCCCTGGGCCTTCGCACACTGTTGTTGTTTAGAGCCACATCAATATGACAGTTTGCTTCCTCCCTTCCCCTGGTAACCCGGAGGTGTGGCCCACGACATCAGGCGGGTATTGGGCTCAGGTATCTTTCTAATCTTGCCGTGAAGTTTTTCCATTGTTCATTTACCTGGAATGGGTTAGGTTAAAGTCCACCCAAAAGAAAGCATATTCGATGTAGTATAGATTTCCTTAAAAAAAACCAAAAACCAAAACCAAAACAAAACAACAACAACAGCAACAAAAAACCAGACATTAAACAACAGAGATACACACACCTTTTTCCACCCCCAATAAGCCCCACCTCTAAAGGGAGGGTGAGCGAGCCTGGAGAAGGGAAAGCCAGCTCAGAACAGGATCTCAGGTCCCAGAATAAAGCTTGCTGTGCTGAGGCAGCCGAGAAGGTGGTGAATATCTGATGCCTTTGTGGCAGTCACTGTTTGAAGGAAAGTACTTTCAAAGGACTCGCTCTTAAGAACAAACCCTCAATTATAGATGTAATTAATTAATGAATGACCGAACCTTCCACTTCCAGGGTGCCTTTCATCCCAGCACACCTCAAAACCAAACAACCCTGGCCTGCGCTCAGGATTTCCCTTGGCCCTGGGGGAGGAATGTAGCCGTTGTTAGCAGCCCCGGACCCCGGCTGAGCCTGCCACGGCTGGGCTCTGTGTGTCTGTGACCTGCAGAGGGACGATGGAAAACAGGAAACCTGCCATGGGCTGTCAAATGTGGTTGATGAATCTTATATTTCATCTGCCAAGGTAAAGGTTAGGAATGAATAAAGAAGCAGTCTGGGGGCGGGAGCCACGTGCTAGTTACTGGCAGTTGGATTTAAAGGGGACTTACAAATAAAATATCAGCGCAGGAAGGGCTTCTGGCCTTTCTGGTTCCAAGCCACTAATTGGACAGATGAGGAAAGCTGAGGCCTATGGTGGTGGGGAGGTTAGTGGCAGAGCCAGGGCTAGATTCTTTCTCCACATAGCACTGTTATCTTGGGTTGAATCTTGACAGGTCCTGTACCACACTTCTCTTTCATAATAATAGGACTTGCCAATTGGTGTAGCTCTTTTATATTCTTTATTGAATCCTCACAACTCTTTATGTATCCAGGCAAGGGTTGTTGTCTTCATTTTGCAGACAAAGAATCAGGGTCTCATAGGGATGAATGATCCAGAGCTGATTCGCATGTACAGTGTAATTGAGCACATGAATTCATAGGTGACACTGCCCGAGTCTGTGCTGTCCTCCCTGCCTGGAAAGTCACTCACCCCTACCTCTTCTATAGTTCAAGGGCTACCTCCTTCAACAATCATTTTCTGAATTCTCCTGCATGAGTTGGGTGACCCTCTAGGAGGAAACTGCCTCTTCTGGATGCCGAGGTCCTCCAGAGGGGCAGACACCTTGGCATCCCACCTCATGGTGGAAGCTGGGAGCCCCTAGCCAGGCGCAGCCACCTCCTGTGCCTGGGATGAAGTCCACTCCGTTCTTTCACTCCATTATACTGCATTTGCCACACCCTTCTGAGACCGCAGGCTTCTTGAAAGCAGAGTTTATGTCTTCCATTTTTGAGCACCAAAGTCTGGTTTCTTGGTGGTATTTTGCAAATGTATGTTGACTCAATCATAAACTTTTTAGAGTCAGGATTTTAACACAGGTCTCCTGATGCCATCAACTTCTGCTCCTTTTAGGACTGTGAGTTATAGAACTAGAAAGTAGGAAAACGCCTCTCCTGGGTATAGATTAACCATCCATGAAGGCCAATCTTTTCCAATTACAAATAAAGCCACCCAAAAGCACACCAGCTCTGCTCCTCCCAGTCTTACAACAAAACCTTATCAGGGAAGAGTCTCTGAATATTTTTTATTTCACTGTGCACGAGCTGGAAAAATGAGCCTCCAAGCCTCAGGGAAGCTTGGAGAGTGCTTAGAAAGAGTGCCGACAGTCACTTACATCTCAGATATGAGAAAAAGACAAAAGAGACAAGTGATAAAAATAGAGCAAATGAGGGAACTAGAGAGACTTGTTTGGCGAGTGGTGGCAACCAGTGTTCTGTGGATGTGGACGGTTCCTGGTCATCAAAGTTATGGTCAGCTCTGGTTCCTGTTCGCCTGGACCCAGACTTACCAAGGAAGAAAACATTTACCTTTAGCATGTGCAAGGGCCGGGCTGCACTGCCTTTTTCTAAATTCTCTCACCAGAATCTACAATGAAATTAATGCTTCTCTAATTATTTCAGGCATGTCTGAGTGGCAGTGACTTATCAACCCCATAGATTTGGCCACTGTCTCATTTTATGTCCATGTGTGGGAGTTTTGATTTATAGGACTTATCCTTGAGCAAAAGATTTCTTGTGTCATAGCAGGACCAGGGCCAGGAAAAACTGGTGGTGAGATCTGAGAGCACTGGGGAGAAATAGTCTCTTCTAGTACTGTTATATGATGGTTTCCCATAACTTCTTTTTTTTTTTTTCTCAAGATGGAGTTTTGCTCTGTCACCCAGGCTGGAGTGCAATGGCGCAATCTTGACTCACTGCAACCTCCGCCTCCTGGGTTCAAGCGATTCTCCTGCCTCAGCCTCCCGAGTAGCTAGGATTACAGGTGCGCACCACCATGCCCAGCTAATTTTTTGTATTTTTAGTAGAGACGGGGTTTCACCATGTTGGCCAGGCTGGTCTTGAACTCCTGACCTCATGATCTGCCTGCCTTGGCCTCCCAAAGTGCTGGGATTACAGGCATGAGCCACCCTGCCCAGCCAATTTTCCATAACTTCTTTTTTTTTTTTTTGAGACAGAGTCTCGCCCTGTCGCCCAGGCTGGAGTGCAGTGATGTGATCGTGGCTCACTGCAACCTCCACCTCCCGGGTTCAAGCGATTCTTCTGCCTCAGCCTCCCGAGTAGCCGGGACCACAGGTGCGTGCCACCACGCCCGGCTAATCTTTGTAGTTTTTAGTAGAGACGGGGTTTTACCATGTTGGCCAGGCAGATCTTGAACTTCTGACTTTGTGATCCACCCACCTCGGCCTCCCAAAGTGCTGGGATTATAGGCATGAGCCACCGCACCCGGCCCTGGTTTTCCATAACTTCTAATGTGTAGAGTTCCATTGGATTTTAAAAGAAATGATGCTTTTTTAAAAGCATCATTTTAAAAGCATTAAAAGAAATGATACATGCTTATTATACAAAATCAAGTGATACATGATGGTACAGGAAAAAATATTTAAAAATTCTACCACACACACACAACGTTTGGTGACATTTGGTGAACATCCTTTCAGATACTATGTGTATGTATTGGAAGACAAAAGAATGGCTAGAATAATTGGAAAAATGGGCTCCTGCGACTTATTCCATTTTAGAAAAACTTAAGTCAATTAACACATTTTAATTGGCAAATAAGGAACTAAAATGAATTCACTTTAGTGACATAGTTTTTCTAGAATTTAAAAACGTTCATCACATTCTTTTAAATTTTACATTTTTAAGAAGGATAAAATGGCCTGTAAATGCCAGGATTTTTGGAATCGCAGGACTGGAAAGAAAAGCAACGCTGAGCCACTTGTTGCAGATTTTTGCTTTTAGGGAGGACAACGGCAGAGTGCTGAGCTTGTTTTTGAAGTATTCTTAAAGAACGCGAGGGATGAAGCCTCCAACTGCTTCCTCAGTAAATGGCCAACATTTACTGATCCTTTTGGTTCACAAGCATTTCACTTGCAATATGGTTTCAGGATTTCTTTTGGTATTTCTGTAGAGTGCAAATTGTTCAGAATCAAAATCATTCTGCTTTGCATGATTTTCTGGCTGAAACATTTGTAGTTTTCACATTTGATTCATCTTTCTGATGAACTCAGTTGTCGTCTTGAAAGGGAGTGGGTACTTTGTAAGACAGCTCAGCTGTTGAGTGAATGCATGGGGTTGCATGTGGGTGTGTTGGGGTCAGAAGGGAGCCCTGTCAGAAGGTAGCTGTCATGAACTGGGTACACCGTCTGTTTGTGTGCCTTTTCAAGACAACCATTCCATTAATGAAGCATTTTATAGGCACCCGTTCTTTATAGTAGAGAAAGATGGCCAAAATGACTCTCAAATACATTTTTACTACACATGATATTTCAGCACAGATGAGTAGTAGGTCTTCAGGCAAAATTGCTATGCTATTATCCTATGAGTTGGAAGGTTACATAAGAAGATTAGACATTTATAGAAATAAAACATGCCCATTAAAAGTGGGCAAAGGACATGAACAGACACTATATACAGATACTATTTGTAAGCGACTCAAGTTGGCTGTTGTTTTCTTCCTCATTTGAAATACTGTATTGAAGACTTCATAACTCACATCATCTCTCTGTTGGCCCCTTTTTCCTGGACAAATAGAAATATGAGAAAACGGTCTGAGGATCATGCTGTAACAAAGTGTTTTATATCAGCTTTACTTGACCACTCATGCTTATGCCCTTGTAGCATCTTATCCATTGGGAAAATGTTCCCAGCTGAAAACAGTCAATTGCAGCTGCAATTTTAAACATGGAATGCAATAGATAGACTTTAAGAAGTTAGTAAAATCTCTAAAACTATATGCAAAAATTTCTCTGCATGCTTATATGCTTGCTTTTCTGAGGAATAGAAGCTTTTATTAACTGTTGTATTTAAAAATTTCAATTAGGCCGGGCTTGGTGGTTCATGCCTGTAATCCCAGCACTTTAGGGAGGCCGAAGCAGGTGGATTGATCACCTAAGGGTATGAGTTCAAGACCAGCTTGGCCAACATGGTGAAATCCCCGTCTCTACCAAAAATACAAAAAATTTGCTGGACATGGTGGCGTGCACCTGTAATCCCAGCTACTCTGGAGGCTGAGGCAGGAGAATTGCTTGAGCCTAGGAGGCAGAGGTTGGAGTGAGCTGAGATCACACCATTGCACTCCAGCCTGGGTGACAAGAGTGAATCTCCATCTCAAAAGAAATTTTTTTAAATTAATTATTATTTGTTGAGACAGGGTCTCACTTTGTTGCCTGAGCTGTGGGCAGTGGTGCAATCATGGTTCACTACAGCCTCAACCTCCTGGCTCAAGTGATCTTCCTGCCTCCACCTCCCCAGTAGCTGGGACTTACAGGCGTGCATCACCACACCAGGCAAATTCTTTTTTTAATGTTTTGTAGAGACGAGGCCTTGCTACGTTGCTTAGGCTGGTCTCAAACTCCTGGGCTCATGCAATTCTCCTATCTTAGCATCTCGAAGAGGTAAGATAAAAGGCATGAGCCACTTCACCTGGCCTCATTAACTTTTCAAAGGAGTATATAAGTTTAAAAAGTCAGGATCCAGTGATGTAAAACTTTAGTTTCCTTCCCTGTTGCCATTGAGCTCCTCCTTCTCCCTTTCTCCTCCCCCTCCTTCTCCTTCTTCTCCTTCTTCCTCTTCCTCCTCCACCTCCTCCTCTTCTTCTTCTCCTCTTCCTCCTGCTTCTCCTCTTCCTCCCCCCCTCCCCTCCTCCCCTTCCTCCTCCCCTCCTCCCTCTCTTCCCCCTCCTCCCCGCCTCCTCCTCCCCCTCCTCCTCCCCCTCCTCCTCCTCCTCCCCCTCCTCCTCCTCCCCCTCCTCCTCCTCTTTCTTCTTCTTTTTCTTTCTCTTCTTCTTCCTCCTCCTCCCCAGTCGTCATCTTCTTCTTCCTTTTCTTCTTCTCCTTCCTCCTCTTCTCCTTCTCCCTCCTCCTCCTTCTTCCTTCTTCCTTCTCTTCTTCTTCTTCTTATCCTCCTCCTCCTTCATCTTCCTCCTCCTCCTCTTCTTCTCCTCCTCCTTATCCTTCCTCCTCCCCCCTCCTCTTCTTCTTCTTCTTCTCCTTCTCCTTCTTCTTCCTCTTCTTCTTCCTCCTCCTCCCCCCTCGTCGTCATCTTCTTCTTCTTCCTTTTCTTCTTCTCCTTTCTCTTCTCCTTCTCCCTCCTCCTCCTTCTTCTTCCTTTTCTTCGTCTTCTTCTCCTTCCTCCTCTTCTCCTTCTCCCTCCTCCTCCTTCTTCCTTCTTCCTTCTCTTCTTCTTCTTCTTCTCCTCCTTCTCCTTCCTCCTCTTCCTCCTCCTCTTCCTCTTCCTCTTCTTCTTTCTTCCTTTTTTACTTTGCCATAGAGACAATACTTTAGGTTCACTAAAATTTTTGCAGTTGTGGGATATTGATTCAAGCACCTGCTCATTTAAAGTGGTTGGCTATATTTAAAATGTTTTTATTGCTTTTTATCTCATACCCCCAAACTGTGCATTTCATCTCCAATTTCATTATTGGTTGAATTCCACAGCCACAAATCATATGACTTAAAATCTTCTAACTTAGTTATTAATTTTATTGAAGATTTCCTTTAGGGGTACTCTGGTTTTATAAATAGACTAATATGACACAATTCCTACTTAAAAACTATTTTAAATTTTTATTTTAATAGTTTTTGGGAAACAGGTGGTTTTCAATTACATTAATGAATTTTTTTGTTTGCAGATGATGCAATCTATTTTTTTAAATTATTATATTTTAAGTTCTGGGTTACATATGCAGGTTTGTTACATAGGTAAACATGTGCCAGGTGGTTTGCTGCACCTATCAACCCATCACTTAGGTATTAAGCCCAGCATGCAATAGGTCTTTTCCCTACTGCTCTCCCCACCCGCCCTCCCCTGAAAGGCCTCTGTGTGTGTTGTTCCCCTCTCTGTGTCCAGATGTTCTCATGGTTCTGCTCCCACTTATAAGTGATAACATGTGGTGTTTGATTTTCTGTTCCTGTGTTAGTTTGCTGAAGATAATGGCTTCCAGCTTCATCCATGTCCCTGCAAAGGACATGATGTTGTTCCTTTTTATGGCTGTATGGTATTCCATGATGTGTATGTACCACATTTTCTTTATCCAGTGTATTATTGATGGGCATTTGGGTTGATTCCATGTCTCTGCTATTGTGAGTAGTAGCTGCAATGAACATACATGTGCATATATCTTTATAATAGAATGATTTAATATTTTTTTGGCAGGCCACCAGGTCTGTTGGGGTGATATCCAGTAGCAGGATTGCTGGGTCAGATGGTCTTTCCAGTTCTAAATCTTTGAGGAATTGCCACACTGTCTACCACAATGGTTGAACTAATTTACATTCCCACCAACAATGTAAAAGCATTCCCATTTCTCCACAACCTCACCAGTATCTGTTGTTTCTTGACTTTTTAATAATCACCATTCTGACTGGTGTGAGTTGGTATCTTGTGGTTTTGATTTGCATTTACCTAATTATCAGTGATGTTGAGCCTTTTTTCATATGATAGGTTCTTTAGTGGTGATTTCTGAGATTTTGGTGCACCCATCACCAGAGCAGTGTACACTGTACTCAATGTGCAGTCTTTTATCCCTCACTCCCTCCCACTCCTACCTTTAAAGATCCTTCAGCCTCTAGATCCAACAGTTTAGTTTTATTTTGTTTGGCCTTTCAGTATTCTGTCAAATGACACAACCTATTATGTGAGGGTCTGCTCTGGGGTGCTTAGGAGCAGTTACTGATCTTTACCCATTTATACCTAGAATTCAGAGTTGCCAGTGCTCAGGAGACAAAGCAATTTAGCACCATCACCAGTAGAGAAAACCTGGTTGTCAAGATCTTTTCACATAGCTGCGATGAAGTCATCATCATCTGAGTGACATACTTATCATTCAGTACCTTGGTATAAGCCTGAGAAAAATGGGTTGGCCTAGCCCATCATACTGGTAGTTGATCCTCATTTATCATTATCACCTTCAGAGAAGGAGGGCACCTCCTCCCTCCTTCCAGCTTCCTTCCTTTTCCAGCTGACACCAAACCTTTCTGAGGAGGCAAGTGATGTTTCAGCTAGATAACTTCTTTCAAAGGACTGCCAGAACACTCTGACTTAAGCCTGGTTTTAGAAAGATCCTTAAATCCTTTTGCACTGCCTCTGTGCAAAAGGCCTGTGCAGTGATTTCATTCCCTTAACACAACAGCAGGAAAAACAGATCCCTGCAAATGGGTGGGAAGTGCTGTTGCAAAGCTGAAACGACTTCACTCTTCTTTTTCTCCTTATGATTATCTTAATCTGATGGACATGATAGGTAATCAAATAAATCCTTTACACAAAGACCGTTGTTGTTAGTGATCCTGGAATTAACCTGCGTGTTAGCTTTAGTCCTCGCTGGGCGTTACTTTCTTTTGCCTTAGGAGGAGATGTTTTGAGTTAGCTGTGGTGTTGGTAGCTGAAACATCATCTCATGCAATTTGCTGAAGTCTTGTCCTTATAGGTTTTACCTTTAGCTCAGTGTGGTTCATGTTGCGGCAGGGCAAGGGTATGCAAGGCTGTTGGAAGGTCCTTGCTCCCAGCATTCTTCCCCACTTGATAGTTGTTGCTGCCTGAAACTCAATCATGTATTTGTTTGGTTCACTCAAATATTGCTGCTTCTTCTTCGTTTTTCTTTCTTTCTTTTTTTTCTTTTTCTTGAGACAGAGTCTTGATCTGTTGCCCAGGCTGGAGTGCACTGGCGCCATCTCAGCTCACTGCAGTCTCCACCCCCCAGGTTCAAGCCTCCCGAGCAGCTGGGATTACAGGCGCCCACCACCATGCCCTGCTATTTTTTGTATTTTTTGTAGAGATGGGGTTTCACCATGTTGGCCAGGCTGGTCTCAAACTCCTGACCTTGAAAGATCTGCTTGGCTCAGCTTCCCAAAGTGTTGAGATTACAGGCGCGAGCCACTGCATGCGGCCAATGTTGCTTCTTATTCAGAAACAAACCTTAATACATTGTTCACACAAAAAACCCATTGTTTGCCTTTTCATTCATTGAACAAGTATTTACTGAATGCCTACCCTGTGTGGAGCAGAGAAGGTGAGGAGGAGGGCAGGGTGAGAGGACGCTGGTGGCGCACAGGACACAGGGTCGTTCTGGGCTTTCTCAGCTCTGCTGAGTATTTTGATCTTCAACACAAGAGATGTGGAAAATGAAGATTTTAAGCAGGGGAGTACTGCACTGTGATCTTCAAAAAGATCACCCTAGCTGTCTCATGGAGAATGAATGAGGGTGAGAGTGAAGTGGTGGGGATGGCCAGGAAGGGACTGCCCCTGTCCAGAGGAGAGACAATGGAAGTTTGCTTGTTAATTTTGATTGACTTAGTAAGATATTCAGGGATATTAGAGTAAGAGCACAGCATTAACTACTTTTCTGCCGTGAGAAAGAAGACATAATAATAGTCAATAATAAATTGACTATTATTATGTCAATAAATTGACCCTGTGGTGTGTATATGCTGCATTTGTTATTCGAGAGGATTGCATAATAGACACGGTGTCTATTATGGTACCTTAAACTGTATATGTTTGATATGTGTCCTATTCAGTAGGCTTTTAGACAGGGAGTAATCATATGTTTTGCCAAAATATTTTTTTGTTCAAGGCTCTCAACTTGCTTTATGGACAAGTAACTACCACGATGGACTTTTTCTTATGGATGTAAGAACTAAGGCAGTGAAAGGAGGAAGACTTGCCTAAGGTTGTGCAGTGAGTTAATGGCAAAGGGGCCCTAGAGCCCACTCCCTACATGGCTGCTGGTTCGTATTTCACCCATGTGCTTACAGAGACTTTACCCATGTGTACAGTGTCTTCTCACATTTACTTCTAGGTTTCTCCCTTCTATATGCGTGAATGCTGTTCTCATTACCTATTTTACTGCTCGTAGATTACTAATCACGACTCGATTTTTAGTTTGCGATACAGGTTTTTCTTTTCCCTTCCCTCCTTTCTTTTGGTTTGGAATATTTGCTTTTCAAAGCTCTGTTATTCTAACTAAAACTTTTTTTTTTTTAATTTTTGAAGATCTTCTTGATGGTGACATTTTCTGCATCTTTGTTGCAGTTTGGACTAGTGGGAAGGATTTTGGGCTAGGGGTTTAAAGTCCACGCTCTACCGTTAACCCACCCACCTAGCAACATTAACCTCTCTGGTCTCAAAGTTCTTACCATGAAAATGAGACTGCCAATAATTTTCCTTGTAGTTTAGAGGGTTGTTGTGGGGAGCAAGTGAGTTAATGTACATACATAAGCTTTGTGATCTACATGTAATATATATACATTAGCTATGTAATAGGTGTGTACTTTACATACATGAGCCACATAATTGGTATGTAACAAACATACTTGAACTATGTAATTTTCAAGCAATGTACACACATGATACATGTAATCTGTATGTAATATACATACAGAAGCTATGTAATAGGTCTGTAGGGTACACATACAAGCTTTGTAATCTGTAGACTGCTGTGCAGAGATGAGGGCAGAGGAGGAGAATGATTAAAAAACACCCGTATTCCACCCTGAAGTCAGGATCCCACAAGTCTGGACAGAGGGGAGACCGATGAAGTTGTCAGGAAGTCACAAGGGCTAGATGAAAAAGTCTAGCCTAAAAGCTATAATTCTGTCCCCAGGTGAACTTAAGGAGAAACAGGAACTTCAGGAGTTTACATTTTATAAACTTAGTCCATGTAAAGCTCAGTCTAGATTTATGCTGATGAATACCCTGGTTACCAGCTGTCAGTTCACATCCCAATTCTGCCATTGCTACCCAGTTCTTCAGTCTTTAATTTCCACAGCTGTGAACTGAGATTAATACTCAGCCCTGATTGATGGGGTTGTTGTGGAAACGAAAGGAGATAATCTATGCATTATACATTAAAAAGTACTCAGTGATACTATTATGAAAATGTGTCTGTGTGTGTTTGTGTGTGTATGTGTGAGTGTGTTAGAATACTCTATTTTAGCTAGGTGAAATAAGCCTATATCTATGTTCTGGTTTTGGATACTTTTGCTGAGAAGTCATATATATTTTTATAGAGTGTTCTAAACTTACAGAATTTATTTTAATATGCTTTGTGGCTTTTAAAATCTCACTTTTCTATATAAATTATATCCTAAACATAATCCCCAATTTTTTGTTTTGCTATATTTTATTCTTACTATTATCATGTTATCTGTTTAAAGTTATTTTAGGGCAGGCACTCTTTCCACCCTAGCAGTGAACTATAAGTTCACTGCTCCACTCTACCTTAAGCCCCAGTTATTATAACTTGATGTGAACAATGTAACATATGGAAAGTTCACATCGTGTTATAATAACTGGGGTTTAAGGTAGAGTGGAGCAGTGAACTCATAGTTCTTCCCTAGGAAGGCTTGAGTTTCCAAATACAGGTAAAAGCCATTTCCAAATGCCTTTGGTTAGGTCCCACTCTGGTCTTTTCCTTCTAGCTCTGTCAATTAGGGAATAAATTATTGCAAAGTGTATATTGGTTAAAAAAAAAAAGGAGGAAGAGGCAGTTTTTCATGACGGTTAAAAGTGCAGGATTTGGAGTCCCATGGTCCTGGGTGTGAATCCTGGCTGTGGCACTAACTATCTGTGTGACTGGCTGTGAACCTCTCGTGCCTCACTTTCTTCATCTGCAAAATGGGTAGTTGTATAGCAAATGCACATAGAGAACACTTAACACTTTGGCACATTGGAAGCACTCAGTAAATGTTAATTGTTATTATTGTTGCTCTAAAGAGATGACCCCACAAGGTTATGGAGTATGTTTACATCTTCAAACTATTAGTTAAGATATAGCCTTAAACATATGCTCTCCTTATGTCAGAATGTTCCCTGAGGGTTGAAGTACAACCGGGAAGCTTGATTGGTTCGTGAATTTAAACACTCGTGACTTTATTGCTTACTCCAGTTTTGGTTTTGGGGTTTTAGAGAGATAATACATGGGCTGTCTCTTTTCCCCTCCCTCTCTCTGTTTCCTTTGGTGTGGGAGGAAGAATAATGGTCCCCGAAGGATGCCCAGGTCCTAATACCCAGAGCCTGTGAATAGCTGATGTTACTTGGCAAAAAGGTAATTAAAGTCACAAGTAGAATTAAGGTTGCTAATCAGCTGGCCTTAAAATAGGGAGAGTATCCTGAATTATTCAGGTGGGCCCAAGATAATCATAATGTCTTTAAAAGTGGAAGAGGGGCTGGGCACGGTGGCTCACGCTTGTAATCTCAGCACTTTAGGAGGCCGAGGTGGGTGGATCACGAGGTCAAGGGTTCGAGACCAGCCTGACCAACATGGTGAAACCCTGTCTCTACTAAACGAACGAACAAACAAACAAACAAAAAACCCCACAAAAATTAGCTGGGCATGGTGGCACATGCCTGCATGCCTGCATGCCTGCACACCTGTAATCCCAGCTACTCCGGAGGCTGAGGCAGGAGAATGGCTTGAACCTGGGAGGTGGAGGTTGCAGTGAGCCAAGATCGCGTCACTGCACTCCAGCCTGGGTGACAGAGCAAGACTCCGTCTCAAAAAAAAAAAAAAAAAGGTGGAAGAGGGAAGTAGAAGATTCAGTCAGTGTTGGCGAAGGAGATGTGATGAAGGCAGAGTTAAGGGTGACGAGATGGCTGATGGTGAAGATGGAAATGGTGGACAAGCCCAGGAATGTGAGCAGCCTCTGAAAGCTGGAAAAGTTTGGCAATAAAACAAATCCCCCCCAGGACCTCCAACACTTTGATTTTAGTACACTGAGTCCCAAGTCAGATTTCTGAAATAGAGAACAGTAAGATAGTACATTCGTGTTTTGTGTTATTTTGAGCCATGAAATGCATGTCACTTTGTTACAGTGGCAGTAGAACATCGTAGTGTCTGTGTGTTTGTGGGGGAAACATCCAGTAGGAACTCTGGTGATGGATTTTTGCTGAAGATTTGCCAGGTCTGTCCTGCAGACCCTGGCCGAGCGTCGGATGAAGGGAGTACTGACAACACAGGCGTGCAGTGTAAGAGCAGCTAGGGGTCTGCCGGCACTTAGGGCCAAAGAAGAGAGCAGCTGCGAACAGCTGAAGCTGCTTGCTTTTATTCAGTACAGACATAATGCCGAAAGCCTGGAGCAAACACAATCTGCGGGTAATTAACATTATTGTTCCCCTTTTCAGGGAGCAGTCATGTGCACAGATTATCAAAGGTCGGTTTCTGGACAACCTAAGTAAACAAGCCTGTTTACGATAAATTCCCCTACACCTCCTTGTACCTACTCCTTGCCCTCTGCCTCAGGATCAGAGAACAGCTGCCTTCAGCTTATTCTCCCCTGAAGCTATGCAGAGCCTTCTGAACTTTCAGAAGGTTTGCATCCTTTCCCTATAGTTTCTCCCACCACTCTGACCAATCTCCTACAAAGATTAAATCAAGGTGAATAGAATGTGTTTTCCATGTGATTTATAAAACATATTTTCCATACACATACTTAGTCTAGATCTTTAATTATTAGCGTAACAGCAAAGATGGTTATAGTTACTATATTTCATAAACCCTAAAAAGGCAAATTATAGGTGGATTTTTAAATTTTCAAATTAATATATATGATATACCTCAGAAAATTATAGAATTTAAATCACATTTAATTAAACATTTTACAAATAATTTTTACGGAGAAGCATAAAATTACATAAAAGGAAGGCTGTTCCTGAAGATCCACGGCACGTGGGAACCATCATTAGGGCAAATGTGAATATGTGTCTTTTATTTACAACCAAAGCCTATTTCCCTCCTGATCTCACCCTTTGTCCACAGCTCGTCTTTCATCCTTAATTATTATTTACTACATAGTCTTTGTGTCATTACTACAAAGAGACGGTGCTGTAACTGGGACGCTGGACACGGTCCCTGCAATCTTAGTCCCACTGTACATTCTGTTCCATGTAAGTGAGCTCCAAATGACCTCTTGGTTCTTCTTACTCTGCAGCCACAAAAACATATCCATTTTGCTCCTTTCTCTTTCTTATTTTGTCTATTTCTCCCAGTGCCTCTCCTGAATACACTAATATAGCATCTTCTGTTTTTTTCTGAACCCAACACGTTTGATTTCATTTCTGATTACCATCCCTCTAATTATAATTTGTAGCCTTTCTTAAAAGGGACCCTGTGGGGGTGGGGGGGGGCAGTGGGTGTGGTTGCTCACACCTGTAATCCCAGCACTTTGGGAGGCCAAGGCAGGTGGATCATCTGAGGTCAGGAGTTCGAGACCAGCCTGACCAACGTGGAGAAACTCTGTCTCTACTAAAAAAAAAAAAAAAAACCACAATTGTCTGGGCATGGTGGCGCATGCCTGTAATCCTAGCTACTTGGGAGGCCAAGGCAGGAGAATCACTTGAACCCAGGAGGTGGAGGTTGCGGTGAGCCGAGATCGTGCCATTGCACTCCAGCCTGGGCAACACGAGCAAAACTCTGTCTCAAAAAAAAAAAAAGAAAAAAAATGGAATCCTGGGGGTGGACTTTGGATATTTCATCCTATCAGCCTTGTGTCCTGTTACTCTTGGGATGGGTCAAAACCAGGAAGTCCCCTGCAGCTTTGGCAGCCCACAATTGCTGATGAAGCCACAAATTGTTGGAAACATGAATATCCGGCATTCATTGTTTTGAGCCTATGCTCGCCATGAATATGAACTAGTTAGAAATGAGACCTACACTTTCCCAATGCTTCTCCATTCAAGACCTCTTGGCTTTATATCTAGTAGAGCAGGGCTATACTGTGCCAATCTTCTAGCAATAAACTTCACACAAATCCAACAGCCTAATTGTTGTGGTTAGAATGAGAAGAGATGAAGATGCTGTTGAGTTAGGTCATCTGGTCTCCAAAGCAGAACTTCACAAGGTGATACTTTCTTGTGAAGTCACAGTGGTCTATGTCTGTTCTTAGGCTGGTGGGTTATTAGTGCACCAGAACCAAAGGGATTCTCAGGAGCTGACTCAGAGTAACCTGACTTTTAAGTGCCAGATGAAAGAGACAGAATGCAAACTTATTAATTTAACATTGAAAGATGATCCATTTTGCAACCACAGAGTTCCCAACTGCAAATCAATGCACCTTCTTTGTTGTACCTAAGAATTAGAGAAACCAAATTGTAATATGAAGGCTTTTGTCAAAAATGGAACTAGAAGAGGGATATGGGGTCTTGAGGAATGAGGTTGAAAAACTGCCTCAAGTCCACACGTGCTTAGATGGTGTTCATGAGTTCAGTGTTGCCCCTTCCTGGATTGGGCTGGACACTGTTGTGTTGTGTTTTTAGGGCTCACTTTCTCTTTTTAAAATATTTTCTTAACCACTTGAACCACCAGGGATATGGCTCACCTTCTTTAGACCTCCAAGACAAGCATTATTTCTTTAATTCTTTATAGCTTTCATTAGGCTACATGTATGACATTTTCAAACTTGAGTAATTATTTAATTGATTGGGCATTTGGAATAGAGGATTTGAGTTTGTTCAGATTTTGACTTTAACATTTACTAGCTGTGACACTGAGCAAATTACTTAACTTCTGTAAGCCTTAGTTCACTTGTTAGTAATGTGGTAATAACCATAGTATGGTAGGGCCATTGTGAGAATTGAGTGAGATAATTCATGTAAAGCATGTAGCACAATGTCTAGAGGCATAATATTTAATCAGTTTTTAATTGAATGAAAGAAGCATTACTCTTTCTACTTTTTGGCCCTAGGAGACACTGTGGCTTCTGTGCATCTGTGATTACTTTTATTATGTGTTGGCGGTGGAGAAGCCTTCCAGCTGTTTTCTCCATTGACACCATAACCTGACTCCAGGAAACATCAGGGCCACAAGAGACAAGGGTAACAGATATTGTACTAGGAGAAGGGCCATCAGTCCTCTCTGAATTGCCCTGTCATTTCAGTTGTCCACAAAAGTGATCCTGTTACAGGGATGACTTCAAACTGTTCTCCCTTCTCCTCCAGGGCTATCTTCTTCCTACTGGCCGCAAAGATTGTGAAGGTTGATACATGATGGAGAGGTCCTTTACAACTGAGCTCCCTAACATTCTGGAAAACAGAAGAGTTGGACCTTTATGTGGTTTTTACTTTGGGTCAGGTGTGACTCAGCTTTCTTTTAAAAAGAAAGGTTCTATCCTTAATATAGCACTTTCATTAGTTATCAGAATGGCTTTGCATGACTATGCCATTGTCATTTGGCTCAAGTGAAATAATTCATTAGCTCTCATGTGATTGTTTTGCCAACTGAAGTAAGCTTCACGAAGCAGTATAATGCAATCCTACTAACAAGGTTACTGGGTGCCAGGCATGCTCTAGGAGCTTTGCATGCATTAATTAATGATGTCATCTCAGCCCTATGAAGTAGATGCTATTAATAGCCCCATTTTAAAGATGAGGAAATAGAGAGATTAAGTAACTTGCCCAAGATCTCATGGTATGTGGCAGGGCTGGGAATCAGAGACCCAGCTGGTCTAGATTCAAGTATGTGTTATTAATCAGTACATGATTCTGCTTTTTAAACAAAGGTGGCCAAAGTTCTTTTCTAGGTTTTTCTAATACCTTTAAAAGGGTGCTTGTTCTGAGATTTCATCCTAGTCTCCTTTCCCCACTGAACTTAACAGAGTCCTCTTACATGGGTAGTAATTTTATTTACCTTCCACTGTGAGACTTCTCCCTGCAACCAGAGTCTATGCTGGGAGTGGGGAAGGGGGTGTTTCTTAGAAAGTGGCAGTGAAGGAAGAGAACACAGTTATTTTTTTCCGGTCAATGGAAAATGAGCTGACAGACATTTATCCTCCACAGAAGTGCAGAGAGAAGACCTTTTTACTCTTACATACAGTTGATGGGTAGTTCTTTATGACCAGCTACCCATGTTTAGAGATGTTCAGCCCAAAGCATGGTCTCTCTCTAGGTCTTCTGGGTCAGTAGAGTTAGGCAGTTTCTTTAAGGGCCACAGATACCAAATGGGTGGATACAACCCTTTCCAGGAAACTCTTGAGCACTAGCGTGCCCAGTGGCCCTCCATAACGAGCTGTAATATCGGAAATTTTTGCTTCTGGATTAGCAGAAAGGCCTTTTTGATTCTTTTTTGTTTCTGTTTTTTTTGTTTGTTTGTTTTTGGAGAAGGAAAAAGAGAAAGGAGTCCCAAACTTGCTCTCCTCCTGAAAAAAGTAAGAGATCTTACTGTCTGAGATGTTTTCTCCAGGTACGACTAGTATGTCCGCCTTGACTATTGGGTTGTTCCAGAGAGAGAGAAAGAGGGGGGGGGGGTGAGAGAGAGAAAGAGAGAGAGAGAGAGAGAGAGAGAGAGGATCAAGAAAACATATTCAGAAATTTTGCTATTGTGATGCCTTCTTAAGATGTTTAGAAACATTGATATACATTTTTTCCCATGTGCATGTAAGTGGTAGCCTGTGGCTCAAAAGCATCACCTAGGAAAGCTCTCCAAATATGATGTTTAACCTGAAAGGATAATTACAGCAAACCTTTCAATGTTGCCAAACAGGGTTGTTCCCATTTGAACTGGGTGCGTGGGTTGTTCCCATGAAACTTGTGAATCATTCATGAACACACTGATCAGATATTTCTAGCCAGCCCAATACCCAGAGGATTCATTTCCTATAAAAGACATTTGATCACAGTGTTGAAACAATGTATTCAAGGTTTGCTTGCCCTGAGACTAACCCAAGTCTGTGTCACGGATGCTGATTGCCTCAGCCTAGAAATTCTTCCTAACCTAATAATGACCTATTCTCTTCTCTTTGGGGACACTTTCCTTTTCTCTTGAATTTTAATGTTTCCCCCCTTCTCTCATTTAAAGTGGATGTTTGCTTTTAAAATGTGTTTTCATTATAAAAACTTTAATTTTAAATCAAAATGGACAGAAATAGGATAAACTTACTCAGGTAAGGGATCCGTTTCTGTCTAGAGTAAGATACTTTTCTTCATTGTTTGAAAAATGGAAATTATGGGAATTAATAACAACATAGAGTCATTATCTTCTAAAGACATGAAGATCTCACTGATACCATCCAATTGCCTTTAAAAGACACTGGCAAAGTGGGGTGGGGGGGGTTGGAAGACTTTTTTTGGTGTCAGTTCTTATTTACAGAGGTAGAAAGCTAGACATGATAAGTAATGTCAGAGCTTGTAAGAGAAACTAAGGACGTAAGCTTTGAAGAGTCCATGGTGACTGCCCAGAGTCTAAGCACAGAGAAGCCAAATGGTACTTCTGAGAGTTAGAGCCTGAGGTCACTGTCTTGGGGTCCAGTGTTCTTCACATTAGGCCTCAGTCCACACCTGTTCACTACAGATGTGCCTGGGAACGAGGAGAGTGAGGAGCAGAAGACGGGGAACAAGGAGAGTGAGGAGCAGAAGAAAGAGCACTGGTCCTCTTTTCGACCCACGTACCATGGACCAGTTACTGTTCTTTCTGTGCCCCAGATTCTCCATCTCTCACATTAAAAATGCTATTAGCTGCCATCCAATACCTTCCGCATTCAAAAATCCACATATTCTCTGCATTTCTGGATGAGGGATAAAGACTCCTTGGATGATTCTCACTGGAAGCTGTGATGAGCTGGAGAAGGGTGCTTTGAAGAGTTGAAAAGCAAGCTGTTGCTACTACAGATTATTTCTGTTCTTGTATCAGGTGCTATTTGACCTTTCTAAGGAAATAAAAGTACTGATAATTCAATCCCATTATTGTGCGGCATGGATGAGTCAGTTAAATTTTCTGCCCAGCAGTTTCCTCATCTGTGAAATGGGGCTATTAATAATATCTACTTCATGATGGGGTTGTGAGGATTAAATGAGTTGATGATATTTATTAAATTATTGGTCATTATTGATTAACTCCATTTTATAAACAGGCGAATAGACACGAAGGAGGGGGGAATCTGCATGTGTGGTTGTCTATCAAGCTATGCCCAAATCTAAAAGCCTCAAATAAGTCATCAAGTCATTCAGATCTTTAAGCCAAAAGCCCCCATCAGTGATAAAGCAGTGGCTTTTAATTCAGTGCACACACTTCAGCTGAGACTTTTGTTAAAATTTGGATTCCCAGGTCCCACAGCTGGAGATGCAGATACAGGAGGTCTGGGGTAAGGCCCAGGAATCTGAATGATACAGACTCCCCTATTAATGCAATTGCAGGTGGCTTCTGGGTCACACTGGAGAAGTTTTGGCGGGACGTCAGGTAAGGGGTTACCACTAACTGAACTCTGGAGGAAAAGTTTCTGGGTAGTCTCTTCTGATCAGCAATTGCTGGAATTGGCTCTGGGAAGTAAGGATGCAAAGGGTGTGGGCTGTGTGATGGGGGCAGGTGATGGGGGACAGTTAAGGGGTGAGAGGCAAGGAGAAAGGGGGAAGCGTGGTTACTTACCTCTGTGTTTGGAAGAGTTTAAACTAGCTATGACATGAAGTGGAGTCAACAAGAAGAAAGGAAAAAAATCTAGAAAAAATATATCTAAAATATCTCCCTTTTTAAGAAATATAATTATGGACCCTCAGAGTGAGAAGCAGAGATATAGGATTTGACCTCAGGCTCTGGACACCATGCTGTGTTTCCTGATTCATGGTTGTCTTTCGAACTGTGCTAAAATTACACTTTCCCTCCCCACGAGCCCCTTTTCTGCTCTAGCTGCTGACTTATGCTGAACTGTCATAAAACCTTAAATTTCCTCCTGTGGCTGTGTAGGATACTTATTTAGCCTCCTAGTAAAAATCCAGTCTCCTTATTGCCTTTAAAAGTTTTGACCACATGCATACAACCAGCAAATGGTTTTACATTCTCTTATACGAAGAAGACACTTAAAAAAAAAAACAAAACTGCAAGCCTTCGAGTGGCTAACTCCCCTCTTTACTGTGCAGCTTATAATCATATATTTTTTAAAACCATGAATGGCATGGGGGATATTTTGCTCTCCATAGGAGGAAGGCATCCTACTTCTAGGATAAACTGAAAATGGCACTGCTGCATCAGTTCAATCTTAGCTTGAGTCCAGTGAGATTCCTCAACCCTAATTTTGTAGCTCGGAGCAGATTTTAGTGTGGATGATATATATCAAGGTCCACCTGGGCCCAGCACTGAACCAGAAAGAAAGGAAGAAGGTATTGATGGAAACGACATGTGTCTAGGTTTAAATATAGGGAATAGGAATGCCCTTCTGCAAAGCACCTTACAGTTTATGAGACCCTTTCACCATTATTATTCCATTTTATCCTTGCAGCCGTGTGGTAGGCAGGGCTTATATTGTTATATCCTATTTACTCGAGGTCATACATGCCCAGGCTGGATTGAGACTCCGTCCCAAGGTTTCTGAATCCCAGTTCCATGCTCTTTCCACATTTTCATCCTGCAGCCTGAGATAGTACGCAGTTAACTACTGACCGGAGGTACTCTGCCCACTCAGATGAGAGAGAAATTATTGATTTAAAAGAGGTCATTCTGGGAGTTCTGCATTCCACTTGCCTAGTGTAAGTTGCTACTTGTCTGGAGGAAGTAAATCATCAAGCTGTAAGTTACACAATGCATGTGTCTTTGATGTGGGCATCAGGCATTATTGACTCATTGATATGCGATACATACCCTAAGAACTGAAAAATGCTTTATTGAGTAGAATTGTGGGCCTGATCACAGGAAATCATGTTTTTTTTTCTCCTAAAAGTTAAACACTATTAAAACTCCAAAATCATGACTGGATAACTAAATTCATGAAGAAAGAATTTTAAAATGAGATAATTACAAAAATAGGTCTAGGGCTGTAGCTAAAAGCAAAACTTACATAAAAATTACATTGGGTGGTGCTTTTCAGCATTCAAAGCAGTGTCACATAAACAATTTCATTTGATCATCACAACAACCCTGTGAAGTAGGCATGATCCTCATTTAACAAACACAGAAATTAAATTTGATGAAGTCTAAATGTTTTCCCCAAGGTCACAGCTGGGAAATGCAGGTGTAGGACTTCAGGCCTTTTGACTACCCATCTGTGTTTGATTTTGAATTATTTCTTAAAACCTCTGGCAATGTCCAATGATTATTGTCAGGAATGACTTACATATTCTGAGACTATCCTGTAAGAAGCTGTGATGATGGCTGGTATATAAATGATGCCTTCTCACATTGGGACTGCCTTGCACTTACAAGCAGCAATTATTCACTATTGCTTTTCTGCAAAATGTGTGGATATTATGTCCATTTACTCTGATGGATAGATTGAAGCAGGAATCTAAGCTATGTTTTTCTTTGTCACTCTTCACAGGGAGGGGAAGAAGGGTTATTTCTTGAGAATTCCAGCTAAATGTTCCTTGTCAAACAATCAGAACAAACTCCCATTCCCTAAAGAATAGAAAGAGAAATAGCAAATGTTTAATGAAAAGACCCATGCTATTTCTTCAAAGTGTTCTAGATTCACTCCCCACAACTTATCTGATTCTCAAATAAAATATTTGGAGAGCCTAATAGGTCACAAAGTTTTGGAGACCATGGACATTTAAAAAAATATCTTTGGAAAGGTAAAGTATGTTAGTATAGATAAATCATAATTAAGACAGCAGAGTTTAATAGGATCCATACTCGTGACTATCTACACAAGTGAATTAAATATTAAAGATCTTTTCCCCTATTTATACTGTTCCCATATATGTTTCTTTCTGTATCCAAAGACATTTAGAAGGGAAGGTTGTAGCTTTTCACCTTCAGGTGCCGGTGGCCAAAAACAACCCTAAACTTGTCTGACTGGCTCTAAGGAGGAATGTCGGTAAACAAGGCCTGAGTAAACAAGAGAGAGACCTGCCCATCAATCACCTGGGTAGTCAAGCAATGTAGGCCATCTTCCTGGGTGCTTACAAATCAGTTCCCATCCCTCAGATAAATGCAAAACATCCTTCCAGAGAAATGTAATTTATTATCATGTTAGCAGTGGTGAGTTAGGGAAGGAGCAGAATAAAAGATATTCTACCTAGCAATGGGGACCCGCTGTAGTAGTAAGAAACTAAGTACCTTAAGGGACTGGGGAGTTTTCTTAAACCTCTCTGGCAGGAGCATGTATTGGCCTCTGTTTCATAAATGTGGGTCATTTTCATCACCTTGGGATGTTAGACTTTGGCAGGTCTGATGATGAAACAAGGCTGCACATGCTCGTAAGAAGAAATGACCTTCCCATCCTTAATCTCCTTGGTGATGGTGCAAATTTTAACCAGTATCCGGGACAGGGGTCCGCAGGCACTGCAGTGCTCCTTTAAGCTGCAGGGGGATGAGGATGTGCAAGCTGGGGCCGTGCTTTCTATGGCTCCGGACTTACAAGATGTCCAAGGGGAAGGCTCACATTTGGTGGCACGTGGGTAACAGGGACGCCTAAGGAAAAAAAACACAATTTTAGCTGTGATTGAGGGAAGGCGATGATGGTCATGGAGAAAAATGATTGTGGCTAATTTTTTTAACACGTGTTGCTCAAGACAAGTACATACTTCTAAATGCTTATTCATTTATTTTGTACTGTAGTTACTGGAAGAAAAAGAATCAGATTAAATCCATTGGAAATCAGCATCCTAGGTTTAGAAGTATTCGATTATGTAAGTTTCCATTAGTCAATACCATCACATTGTGGAAAGAATACTGCACTAGCAGTCAAAAGACTGAGGCAGAGACCAGCTCTGTCCTTTACCAGCTGGTGACCTCAGCTAAGTCATTTAACGCACTCAACCTTTAGTTTTTCATCTGCAGAATGGATATAATGGAAACTAAACCCACAGGATCAACAGTGATAAGGAACAAGTTGAGGGCATTATTATCCGAGGAATGGAAATTAACCAGATATTTTTCTCATTGAGGAGTTAGTCATACTAATAGTGGTGGCCTGAACCCCAGCTATGAAAGAGTCCTCACTGTGTCATCAGGAAGCTTCAAAGTGCCTTCTGGCTGTCTATGCATAGTTTTTAGAGAACTGAAGTAAAAAGCAGTTCATAGTAAACACTCTTTTTATAAACATAATCTTTCTTTGATGATTCGAGGTATTTTGGTATATGATCACAGCTCCTAAAGGTGACAGCATTGATGACCATTGTGCTCACATAATGTGGTCATGCCAATTAAAAGAATGCTGTGAAGAGTTCACTGATTATTTTCGGGAAGTAGGTCTCCTTTGCAATTGTAACTAAGTCTCTGGGGTTTTAGTTTGGACTGAGTTGCTTCAAAGAACTCATCCTCCATATATGTTTACTTATGGGTTGGTTAGCTTCTTATTGCTTACAAAAATTATAACTTTTATTTTTTAAAAAAGATGCTAAAACATACATGTGTACATGCTTCTGTTGGCCTCAAGGACTAGTGGCTAGATAGGGTTAGGGGTTTCAGCCTGAGCAGAATGTTCCTCCAAAGGAGCCTGGGTTGTTTTGTACAAGCTCATGAAAATCAGACGTTCATCTCAGTGGGGAAACATCTGTAATGGTCACCAGGAATATTCATCTATGGGGAAATAATTTTTTCTCTAGTAATTTTTAAAACTCTAAGAAGGTAAGCAACCTATAAGAAATTAACCTGGCCCATGGGCTCTTCAGAACAGCTCAGGTCAGCCAATGCCTCAAATTTGGATAAGGTTACAATTGCAAGTCTTCCTCATGGCACAGCTTGAGAGGGTGTGTGGATGCCTCTGTCCAAGCTCCCCATCACTGGCAAGAAGGTCAAACAAAGCACTTGACCCCTGTTGCCAGTGGCAGTACATATATCTGCGTTCATTTACACTTTTTTGTCATAGAAGTTGCTGTTATTTTACATACTTGCCATCCGAGCTCTCCAGAAGGCTGCGGTATGTGGTAATCTCACATTCCAGCCGGGACTTGACGTCCAGCAGGATCTCGTATTCTTGGTTCTGTCTTTCCAGGGCACACCGGATCTCTGCCAGCTGAGCTTCCAGGTTATCAATCAGACTCTGGATCTGGGTCAGCAAGGCCGTGTAGCGAGCCTCTGTCTCCGTTAGGATGCACTCTTGGGAATCTCTCTACCATGGAGAAGGATAGTAGGATTTATAATGACTCCTTTAAGCCCAGGTCACCTGTGACCTGTATCATTTAAAAAAAATGGTTTCTTTGTGACACTACTGATAGATCTCCAAGCACTTTATTTATTGTTTCCTAATCAAATAAATCCAAAACCCAAATGATCAACTATGCTAAAATCTGCTTTCCTTTATCTCTTCCCTCTTTCTCTCTTTCTCTTTTTGCTTCTCTGTAAGTATTTGTTTCACTTTCTCTTTCTTGACCAACCAATAGTCTCGCACCACACTTTCCTACTTAGGAGAGAAAAAATAATAACTTAATGCACACCCAGGCATTAAAAATGCATTACTGGCTGGGCGCAGTGGCTCACGCCTATAATCCCAGCACTTTGGGAGGCCCAGGTGGGTGGATCACAAGGTCAGGAGTTCAAGACCAGCCTGGCCAAGATGGTGAAACCCCGTCTCTACTAAAAATACAAAAAATTAGCTGGGTGTTCTGGTGGGCACCTGTAATCCCAGCTACTTGGGAGGCTAAGGCAGAGAATTGCTTGAACCCGGGAGGTGGAGGTTGCAGTGACCCGAGATCGTGCCACTGCTGTCCAGTCTGGGCGACAGAGTGAGACTCCATCTCAAAAAGAAAAAAAAAAAAAAGCATTACCATGGCACTTCATTCAGTGAGTGTTCGTGTCTTAAAAAAGGAAGGAAGCAATGTTTTACCATATACAATTTATCCACCAGATCAATTCCTTTATATGTAAAATATGAAAGTTGAAACTGATGAGTAAATTTCATTCCTGCTCTATCATTCTGTAAGTCTATGGATAATGATGGGATTTTAGGTTTTAATAGCCTATTATTTGCATGATTATCCCAATTTTTATAGATGAGAAAACTGAGGTTCAAGTGGTTCAATATGTTGTCCAAGGTCACATGACTAGCTGGTGACAAAACCAGTGTGGGGCAAGGTCTTCCCAAAAGCCTTCACATCAGAGCATGTAAGCAATTCTCTACTTCAGAGAGGCATTATCATGAGACAGAATGATACTGGCTTTGGAATCTAAACTCTGGCTCAGACTCTTATTTCTTTTGTGACTTTGGATGAGTTTCTTAATGTCTCAGGATCTCAGTGTCTCTATAAAATAGGTGGGCTGAAACTTACCTTGGATTTGCTTGGGAAAATCACTTTAGCTCTTGGAGCCTCATCTGTAACATTCGTTAATAATTATGCCACCCCCCCTCTTAGGATTGCTTTATAAATCTCATGTGATAGCTTGTAAAAATGCTTTGCATATAATAAAATGCTCTCCCAGTGTTTCCCAAAGTGTACTTCATGAATCATTAATACCATGAGATGTTCTAAAAAAAGTGGGGGGATCCACAGTCAAATAAGTTTTGGAATGCTGAATACCATATACCCCCTTCCTGGAGATTCATGGTGTATATTAGCTTATTAATGGCTCACAGGAAGGCACCCTGTTTAACCTTGGTTTAGTGCAGCGTTTCGTAGACTTATTTGGCCACAAAGCTCTTTTTCAGCCATAGACGCTTTAACAAATGAGGAACTATTGTTCTGAAAGACACAGTTTGGGAAATACTGCAGCACACAGGTGTAAGGGACTGTTTCCATCTTTGCTGAGCTAGGCTTGGTCAGCTTGCTCAGTACCATTCGATGCTGGGCCTGCAGTTCAACCTCCAGAGTGTTCACACTGCGTCTCAGTTCTATGATCTCCTTTTGGCAGCATTGCTGCTGTTGAGAGCTGGTCACCACTTGTTGATTCAGCTCCTCTATCTGAAACACACAGCCAGAGACTGAGAATATTATGGGAGGAAAACATGACTTTGATTAAAGGGCCCTAGAAATGCAGCATCAGCTTATTGTTTTTGACTTTTCTATATCCCCCACCTGCGTGTTGAACCACTGTTCCACATCTTTGCGGTTTGTCTCCATGATGGGCTCATATTGACATCTCATTTCTTGTAGAACCTGGTTTAGGTCAGCAGAAGGGGCAGCAGTCACTTCAATGTCAAGTCTCTCCCCAAGCTGACACTGTAAAGAATTGATTTCCTAAGGAAAGAAAAAGACTGTGAAGTCACTTGGTGAACAGATAACCCCTTTGTGTTCTTGTTTCACTCTAACTGCTACGATTTAGCTTAATTGTGTCTAAAATATAGCCCACAACAAAGGAATACATGATTTACAGGTGTTATTGAGATGCTATAAAATGATTTAAGACTCTTTCAGGTAGGACTGTGTGTTTAAATGTGTGCAAAATTAAAAAAAAATGAGTAGCAAGACCAGAGTTCCAAAAAATTTAGATCATTTCCAGGGCTGGATAATGGGTGAAACAGGATAAAGGTGGAATTGATCATGAGAGATTATAGTCTCTATGGTGCAAATACGGGATTGTGCCAATATTGACTTGCACCAATATTGACTTGTACCAATGGGAGGTGGCAGAAGCCTGTATAGGGATGCCTACAAACATGGGAAGACTGTAAGGACAGAAAAATTGGGTTCCTTCTTGTAGAAAAGCTGGAGGGGATGTTGGAGGCCTTTCTTCCCCTTATGGCTCCAGATATTGTGTTGGAGCCAGTGGATTTGAAATACTACCTTGAACCAGTGCTAGTAGCAGTAGGTATTTTCAGGGCTAAACCAGAGTAGTACGTAGCAGTGGTTTGGCTCTGTGTCCCCACCCAAATCTCATCTCGAATTGTAATTCCCATAATTCCCATGTGTCAAGGGAGGGACCTAGTGGGAGGAGATTGGATCATGGGGGTGGTGTCCCCCATGCTGTTCTTAGGATAGTGAGTGAGTTCTCACAAGATCTGATAGTTTTATAAAGGGCTCTTCCCCCTTTGGTCTCTCTCTGTCTCCTGCTGCCAAGTGAGATGTGCCTGCTTCCCCTTAAGCCATGATTGTAAGTTTCCTGAGGCCTCCCCAGCCATGTGGAACTGTGACTCAGTTACACTTCTGTCCTTTATAAATTACCTACTCTCAGTTATTTCTTTATAGCAGTGTGAGAACGAACTAATACAAGCGGGCACACCCTTTGTCAGGTGCAACTCAAAGGAACTGATGCTACTTTTAGGGACTTAGCTTGTGATTACTCTATTGGTCTTTGTCTCACCTCTTTGTGGTTGTTCTTGAGGCAAAGGAGCTCCTCTTTCAGAGACTGGACTTGTGCCTCTAGGTCGGCCTTGCCCAGGGTCAGCACATTCAGGATCTGCTTGAGGCCATTGGCATCTGACTCTACCAGCTGGCGTAGAGACACCTCAGCTTCGTATCTTTAAAAACCAGATGGGAAAAGAGAGACATCTGAAAGGAGATGATGCAAACCAAGCCAAGCAGAACTCTCATCTGCATTTTGCTCTGGGCACCTCACTTAGTGTATTTCTATTAGAAGTTTTATTCTCTTTGGAGGTGAAACCATTTGATATAGATCATAACTTAATTATTATTCCCAAATTAGTTTGCTAGGGGGATCTACATTGCTGTTCTTTGAGATATGGGAATTTATTGTCCTTCCTCTGCCCCTAGTGGCAATGCAATGTAAGTGAAGAAAGCACTGGATTAGGGCTCAGAAAACATGTGTCCAAGTTTCGGTTTTGACTTGTGCTAGTTATGCTTACCTTTGGGTGAGTAACTTAGCCTCACTAAGCCACAGATTTCTCACCTTAAAGAGAGTAACAATATATTAGTCCTATCTATTTTACTGAACTATTGTGTAGGTAATCAAATGGGTTCACAAGTTAGAAACTATAGGTACTGTATACATGTGAGCAGTTATTAATCTTAATCATTCATTGAATTTGAAAGTCTTTTCTGGGCTTGTGCCAACATCATCTGGGGCAAGAGGGTTAGTAGACATGGGGACAATTTTGTTGAGGGCATCTCGGTCAGACTCAGGGTGAGCTCTGTCATTGATGACGGTGTTGGGTGGGCTTACTTGGCTCTCAAGTCATCTGCAGTCAGTTTGGTGTTGTCAATTTGCGAGACCAGTCTGGAATTCTCGGCCTTGGTACACAAGATCTAGAATTAAGAGATTGTACACACAAATGAAGCAAACACCAAGATTTCCTTCTTTAAGAACCAAGGGGTTTGTGTGTGTGTCAAGTAACAGGGGAAGGCTAAGTAGACTTTTTATTAATCTTCATAGCTATGCTCACAAAGCTTGGAAAACTTCAGAAAGTCAGATTTCCTGTTATTTTCCTAAAAGATCAGCAAAAAGTACTTAACTAGAAACTTTTAAGTATTTTTTTTGTTGTTGTTGTTAAAAAATCCAGGCTGAGAGCAGTGGCTCACCCATGTAATATCAGCACTTGGGAGGCTGAGGCGGGCGGATCACGAGGTCAAGAGATCAAGACCATCCTGGCCAACATGGTGAAACCCTGTCTCTACTAAAAAATACAAAAATTGGCCGGGCGCAGTGGCTCACGCCTGTAATCCCAGCACTTTGGGAGGCCGAGGCGGGTAGATCACGAGGTCAGGAGATCAAGACCATCCTGGCTAACACGGTGAAACCCCGTCTCTACTAAAAATATAAAAAAAAAAAAAATTAGCTGGGCGTGGTGGCGGGCGCCTGTAGTCCCAGCTACTTGGGAGGCTGAGGCAGGAGAATGGCATGAACCCAGGAAGCGGAGCTAGCAGTGAGCCGAGATCGCGCCACTGCACTGCAGCCTGGGAGACAGAGCGAGACTCCGTCTCAAAAAAAAAAAAAAATACAAAAATTATCTGGGTGTGGTGGTGCGTGCCTGTAGACCCAGCTACTAGAGAGGCAGAGGAGGGAGAATCGCTTGAACCTGGGAGCTGGAGGTTGCAGTGAGCAGAGATCGCGCCATTGCACTCCAGCCTGGTGACAGAGTGAGACTCCATCTCAATAAATACATAAATAAATAAATAAAAAATAAAATAAAATCCATCCTAAATTTATATAAATACCATGATCCACTAGAATGTCAACTCCATGAGGGCAGGGACTTTTTAAAGGTCACCAATATTTTCCCAGAATCTAGAACAATGTTTGGCCCAATGTTGTTGCTGCTCAGTAAACATTTGTTGAATGAATAAAACTGAATAAATCCAGATATGTAGTAGCAGAATACGTCTGTGCATAACAAACTTAGGTTTGGTGTAGAAACAAACCAAGCAATGTGGAGATGATAACATAAGCATAAAAGGAGAAAAAGGTGGTGATGGTTGAAAAATGGATAAAAACTAAATTGCTTAGAAACTCATTAAAGCAAAATTTATTTTCTCTGATCTCTGTTTCCCTATTTTTATTTAAAAAATGGCAACAACTTGCTGTTAACATCTTTTGGTCCTGAGTCATCTAGTTATAATGGTAGAGTGTATTTCTGGAGAAAGGAAACACCATGAGACTCTTCTTTTTGTTTCTGATTTTTAAAGACATAGTCTCACTTTTGTCTGGGCTGGAGTGCAGTGGCAGGATCTTGGCTCATGGCAGCCTCAACCTCTTGGGCTCAAGTGATCCTCCCACCTCAGCCTCCCAAGTAGCTGGGACCACAGGCATGTGCCACCACGCCCATCTAATTTTTTTTTGTGTGTGTATGTGTGTGTGTGTGTGTGTGTGTGTAAGGATGGAATTTCATCATGTTGCCCAGGATGGTCTAGAACTCCTGGGCTCAAGTGATCTGTCTGCCTCAGCCTCCCAAAGTGTTAGGATTACAGGTGTGCATCACTGCGCCTGACCAGAAATACTATCAGACTCTGAATGCTGCCTCAAGATGACAATTTCACTCAAGAAATTTTTCTATTCTTCAAAAAAATTTTCAGCATCAACTGAACAAAAAATATTAAAGTTTAGCAAATAACTGTTGCTTGGAAACCATTAATTCACAACACGATTAAACAGGTTCTTAGGAATCTTACCTTCTGCTGGAGCTCCTCAATGGTAGTGTAGTAAGACAGGTAATCAGGACATAGAACAGGGAGCTCTTTGTTACTTTCTTCCTGGATTTTAGATTCCAGTTCAGCATTCTCTCGTTCTAGCATTCGCACCTTTTGCAGGTAGTTAGCAAGGCGCTCGTTCAAGATTTGCATGGTCTCCTTCTCATTACTGTTGATGCCTTCACCATACCAGCTGCAGTCATCCAGAGAAAAACGGGCATTGAAGTTGTTCATTAGGTAGATGGGCTTGCGACAAAAGCGAGGAGTGGGTTGGCAGCCCTGGTCCCAGGGAATTCTGAGAACGTGGCCAGCTGGTTGACAGTTGTTGACTGTAAGGCCACCAGGATGGCAGCCGTTGTTAGAAGAGATGGTACTAACATTTGTAATCCTAGAGCAGTTTTGACATGGGGTTGAAGGAGAATTGGTTGTTGTACAGCCCTTGGTGTCCATAGTATGTGTCTGGCTTTAGTTTGTTCCAGGTCTGTGGTCACCAGGATGAAAAGCTCAAGCCACCTCCACAGAGTCTGAATTCCAAGGCTCTTGGTGTTTTCCTCTTTGAAGTGCTTATATAGCCTCTCTTCTACGTGGTGTCACACAGGTGGGATGTTTTCCTTTCTCAGGTTTATATCAAATCCTGTAGGAACATCTTATTAGTCTGCTTTTTACTTGCTTAAGAAGAGTTATTTGTCTCATAAACATGTGCATTTAGGCTGTTAGTAAGTTATTACCCATCATAACTACTACTTGTCTATTGGACCCAGAGCTTCAAATTATGTCTTCAAAAGGAACTGTCCTAACAGCATCCATTATTAAGCAGGTGTGAGTATACTAAGTTCATTACATTCTTGTTGACCTCTCCACTTGGCACTGAGCTTAACCAGGAATGAGTTCATCCTTCTTTTCCTTTCTTCTCTAGAAAAGGGAAACTATTAATGTTTAATAATTATTGGTAAACTTAGAAATCAGAAGTCAATATTTTAGTTTGTTCTGCCCAAATGGTTTCCCCATTTTCAGTGTCAGGACAATGTGAGTATGAATTAAAATGTTAGTCTTTTAAAAGTCTTGTTTTAAAGATAATTGCTAGATTTATGTTTTAGCTTTCCATAAAATGTAATAACATAAAATAAAATATAAATAAAATATGAAATAAAATAAAAGCCATGGGGAAAAGGTAGGGTTTGATTGCTAATAAGAAATTTCTTGGAAAAGAGACTAGCTCTCTTTTGGTTTTCCAAAGTCCACATTTTATAACATTTTTAGTGCTTGGTGTTTGCTTGTGGTATTACATTAGATAAAAATGTATCACAGTGTTGGTTTATACTGGATGTTTAAATAGGATTCATTGAAAGGGGTGTGTTTTCTTTCTGAGGAATACTTACTCAGCATTTTCTTCAGAAAGTTACTTGCTGCTAATCCTTTATGGAGGCTCTAGGGGAACATCATTTTCTTGCCTTTTCCAGCTTCTACAGGCTGTCCACATCCTCAGCTAGTGGCCCCTTTTCATCCTTTTTTTTTTTTCTTGAATTATGAGATTTTTTGTACTTTGAGTTCTGGGATACATGTGCAGAACGTGCAGGTTTGCTACATAGGTATACAAGTGCCATGGTGGTTTGCTGTACCCATCAACCTGTCATCTACATTAGGTATTTCTCCTAATGCTATCCCACCCCTAGCCCCTCACCCCCTCACAGTCCCCGGTGTGATGTTCCCCTCCCTGTGTCCATGTGTGCTCATTGTTCAACTCCCACTTATGAGTGAGAACATGCAGTGTTTGGTTTTCTGTTCCTGTGTGAGTTTGCTGAGAATGATGGTTTCCAGCTTTATTCATGTCCCTGCAAAGGACATGAACTAATCCTTTATTATGGCTGTATAGTATTCCATGGTGTATATGTGCCACATTTTCTTTATCCAGTCCATCATTGATGGGCATTTGGGTTGGTTCCATGTCTTTGCTATTGTGAATAGTGCTGCAATAAACATACATGTGCATGTGTCTTTATAGTAGAATGATTTATAATCCTTTGGGTATGTATCAAGTAATAGGATTGCTGGGTCAAACTGTATTTATGGTTCTTGATCCTTAAGAAATTGCCACACTGTCTTCTGCATTGGTTGAACTAATTTACACTCCCACCAACTGTGTAAAAGTGTTCCAATTTCTCTCCATCCTCTCCAGCATCTGTTGTTTCCTGACTTTTTAATGATTGTCATTCTAACTGGTGTGAGATGGTATCTCATTGTGGTTTGATTTGCATTTCTCTAGTGACCAGTGATGATGAGCTTTTTTCATATGTTTGTTGGCCACATAAATGTCTTCTTTTGAGAAGTGTCTTTCTATATCCTTAGCCCATTTTTTTGATGGGGTTGTTTGTTTTTTCTTGTAAATTTGTTTAAGTTCCTTGTAGATTCTGTATATTAGCCCTTTGTCAGATGGACAGATTGCAAAAATTTTCTCCCATTCTGTAGGAGGCTGAGGCAGAAGAATTACTTGAACCCAGGAGTTCAAGTTCAGGTGGGCAACACAGTGCGATTTCATTTTTAATAAAATAAAATAAAATACAAAATAAAAGCCATGGGGAAAAGGTAGACCGTTATATGTATTATATGTACTTTGGGGACAATTTTGTATTCCCTTTGGTGTGGGGGCAGGGAATGTTGAAACCATACTTCATCCTTTACAGTGGGACGAATTACAAGTAGATCAAAGATTGAGATATGAAAAATAAATAATAAATATGCCCAAAAGGATAATTATTTTATAAATTTGGAGTCAGAAGACTTTTCCAATGATGACTCAAAATTAAGAAGCCGTAAAAAACTGTTAGATTTGACTCCATAAAATAACAGTGTTTGAACTTGTGCTTGGGTGAAAAATACAACCTGTAAAACCAGAAGACAAGATGACAAACTGGGAAACAATATTACAATTACACTCTAGACAGTGACCAAAAGGAAAATACAAAAGGCACTTAAAATAAGAAAAAATGCTCAATGTCACTCATGAAAAGAGAAATGTAAATTTAAATTATACTGAGATATTTTAGTTTTCCACCTATCAAACTGAAAAAAATCAAAGTTTGATAACAGATACATTCACTGCCTATAGCACTCTCATTGCTTGTGGCAATGAAATGTAAATTCATGCAAGTTACTATAATGCTACTACAATTAAAACAGTGTGATATTGGCATAAGGGTTGGAAAGTAGATCAATGAGAAAGAATATAGAGTTTAGAAATAGACTCACATATATGTGGTCAATTGATTTCTGACAAAGATCCCAAAGCAAGTCAATGAGAAAAGGAAAGCTTTTTCAATACTGTTTTTTCAATACTGTTCAATACTTGTCGCTGAATCAAGTGGATACTTGTATAGCCAAAATGAATACATCTTGATCTCTACCTCACGCTACGTATAAAACTTAATTCAGGTTGGATTAAACACTTAATTGTGAAGATTTCAAGTCTAAAGTTTTTAGAAGAAAACTCAGAAGATTATATTCATAACCTTCTGCCATGAGAAGACTTCTAAGCTCATGGAGGACACTATAATAAATAGATTAGACTTCATCAAAATGAAAACCTTTTGTTGATCAGATAAATAGCTAAGAAAGTGAAAAGGCAAGCTACAGCCTGGGTTAAAATATTCTCTCTCTCTCTTCATACACCCACCCCCCAACGCACACATTAGAACACATACATACACAACGTCATATCTTTTGTAACAATGGGAATATATTCTGAGAAATTCACCTTTAGTGATTTTGTTGTTGTGTAAACATCACAGTGGACTTCATGAACCTGGATGGTATAGCCTATAACACACTTAGGCTATATGGTATAGTCTATTGCTCATAGGCTGTAAACCTGCACAGCATGTTACTGTACTGAATACAGTAGGCAACTGTAACACAATGGTAAGTATTTGTTATCTGGAAACACATTTAAACATAGAAAAGGTACAATAAAAATATGACATTATAGTTTTTTGGGACAGCTTTTGTATGTGTATGTTCCATCATTGTTGACTGAAATGTCATTATGTGGCACATGACTCTATAAATAAATATGTGTATAAAAATAAATAAACACATATTTATTTATACAGTAATATACTATCTCTCTCTCTCTCTCTCTCTCTCTCTGACAAAGGACCTCCCCCAAGGACCTAGCAATTTCATGGTTAGGTATATGTCCAAGAGAGATGAATGTATATATTTTATACACACAATAATATTTGCACAAGAATGCTTATAGCAGCTATATTCTTAATAGCACTAAAATAAAAATAACTGCTCATAAACAGAATAATGGACAACAAACTGTGACATGTTTATGTAATGGAGTAGTATGCAACAACAATAAAGAATGAACTGCCGGTACTCATGACACCATGGAAAAATCTCAAAAACATATTGAGCTGAAGAAGTCAGGCACAAAACAGTACGAACAGTATGACTACATTTATATTAACTTCAAGAACAGGCAAAACTCATCTTTGACATGGTTAGAGATAAGAGTAGTGGTTGTCTCTGTCAGAGAGATGTACTGGCTGGAAAGCAACAAGAAAGAATTTCTAAGGTTGATGTTCTACATTTTGAAATGCTATTCTGTATCTTGATCTGGGTGTTGATTACACAAATTCATGTGCTTTCAAACTCCATGAAGCTGCCTACTTTTATTTTTATTTTTAGACACAGGGTCTCACTCTATTGCCCAGGCTGGAGTTTAGTAGCATGATCATAGCTCACTGAAGCCTTGAATTACTGGGCTCA
The DNA here is from genome assembly GCF_000001405.40 of Homo sapiens. Lineage (NCBI taxonomy): Eukaryota > Metazoa > Chordata > Mammalia > Primates > Hominidae > Homo > Homo sapiens. The sequence continues at coordinate 120,575 of NW_003871091.1, forward strand.
AGTTGTCTTCCCACCTCAGCTTCCCAAGTAGCTGGGACTACAGGCACATGCCACCATGCCTGGCTAATTTAAAAAAATTTTTTTAGAGATGGGGCCTCATTATGTTGCCCAGGCTGGCATAAACTCCTAACCTCAACTGATCCTCCCACCTTGGCCTCCCAAAGCACTGGGATTACAAGCGTGAGCCACTGTGCCCAGCCTGACCTGCGCACTTTCAATTGATGCATCTTATTGTCTGAAAATTGTATCTCAATAAAGTGGAGTTAACATAAAAAGTTAAGATTTGATACAACTGTGCAGCTGCATGAATGTTCACTACTTTATCTATATACTTAAATTACAAATGGATCAAAGATTCAAATGTGAAAAGTGAAAATCATAAATGTACTAAAATAAAATATAGGAGAATACTTTTACAAATTCAGATGAGGAAGGCCTTTGTAACAGTGACTTGAAATTAAGAACCTGTAAAAAATACGATAAATTTGACTTCATAAAATAGCAGTGTTTGAAATAGTCCATTAGTTTGAAAATGTATGAAAAATACTGAAAGTAAATAAATCAAGAGGTTAGCAGTGAAATTCTTTGCATTTTATAGTTACTGATGAATATTATTTTCTTGTTTTTATTCCACAAATTCCACAAATTGAATGTATCTCTTTTAGAATCATTAGAAAAATTGTCTGCAAAACTGTTTCTGCTTCGTTAGTTTCTTAGACTTTTTTTCTGCCTCCATACCTTTCTAATAATTTTTATTCTTTTCCTCTTGTGTCTCACATGCAGAGTTGTTCCTTCCTTGGCTGATTCCCTTTTGATTTCTTCAGGGCCACATTTCATCCATTATGCTCCCCCTTTTCTTGCCTCTTTCATGTCTTCTTTACTACTGGATCATTTTTTCTTTCCCTATAAGCACATCTGTTAACTGATCCTACAATGTCTGACCCGTAACCATGAGGCACTTCTTCCATGAAGGTGGCTTCTGCCTTCTTTTCATTACCAAACCTTTTGACAGAATAGTGGGTACTTATTGTCTTTATTTTTCTACCACCAGGTCATTTGTTAACTTTTGTCAATCTGGCTAGCCTGTAAATTACTTTACCACATTCTCCACTTTGGAGATCTTCTTTATCTACCTTCATATAGCTCCATTGCTGGTGCAGAAATGTTCAACCTTCCTACAGACAGAGCAAGGCTCAAATTCTTGTTTGCCTGGCAACCAAGACCCTCCACAATATTGACCCAGCTGACTTTATCTCATATTCCAGGACCCCCGACCCACTCTATACATTCTAGCCCAACTGCATCCTTTGCTATTCCCCAAGCTCTTCCTGCCCTGTTCCCCCACTGCACATTTATTGTGGGGGTTCCCTCTACCTTTCTTCATCTGTGTGTTTCAAGGCTGTTCTGGAAGAGACTCGGGCTCACGCATATCTGGTTCTCCTCTCCTTTTGGGCACATGGGAGGCTTACCCTCTCTTGCCCCTTTGCAGTTAGGCAGGGTATTACCAAGGCTTTGTTTTCTGGTTCAAGATCTTTGGGCTGTCTCTTCCCTGCCCCAGGCACTGAGAAGGCAGCTGTTCTAGAAGTGCTTCTCTCTTCTCTTTTCTTTTTTTGAGTGTCATTTTGGAGAATCTCAGCTGTAAAAACTCAAGTCCACACTGCCTGGAAGATCGAATCTGGAAGTGATAGAAAGTTCTCTTGACAGCTTTGCCCCTGTCTTTCTGAGAAAGGGGTTGTGCACAACATAGGAAGAATGGGCACTGGGGCCAGCCTGAGACCAGTAGCTGAGTGATAGGAAGGCCTTATCTGCCTCTGTAGAGCCAGTGAGGAATCCATGAATTGTAAATATTAAATTTACATAGATTAAATATTTAAAATATTAAATCTAATATTGTAAATATTAGATTTCTGAATCGTGGGCACTTTTTTTTTTTTTTTTTTGAGACGGAGTCTCACTCTGTCGCCCAGGCTGGAGTGCAGTGGCGCGATCTCAGCTTACTGCAACCTCCACCTCCTGGGTTCAAGCAATTCTCCTGCCTCAGCCTCCCAAGTAGCTGGGATTACATGCGTGCACCACTATGCCTGGTTAATTTTTGTATTTTTAGTGGAGACGGGGTTTCACCATGTTGGCCAGGCTGGTCTCAAACTCCTGACCTCATGATCTGCCTGCCTCAGCCTCCCAAAGTGCTGGGGTTAGAGGTGTGTGCCACCGCACCTGGCCACATATATGTTTTCTTCACATGGGTGGTGCAATCAAAATATGGAACTATTCAATCACCACAGAGCTTTCCTTTGTCCTATGCCTAATTTGTTCTCCATTCTTATAATTGTGTCATTTCAAGAATGTTATATACATAGAATTATCAAATATATGGCCCTTTGAATTGCCCTTTTTCACTCGGCATGATGGCCTTGAGATCTTTAGGACATTTCTGTGATCTCTAGTTTTTGGCTATTACAAACAAAGCTGCTATGAACAATTGTGCATCTCTTCAATCCTTTTACTTTCAACCTACCTATATTGTTATATTTAGCTTTTTGCAGAATGTATCGTACAGTTGGATCATGCTTTTTTATCCACTCTGCCAAGATCTGTCTTTTTTCTATGTCTTTAGACTCTTTCCACTTGCTGTAATTTTCTATATTTAGCCTGTATTGTATTTATTGTATTCTGTTTGTTCATTCTGTTTTTTGTTTGTTTCTCTGTATTCTTTTTCCTGCCTTTCTGTGGGTTACTTGAATATGCTTTAGAGTTCCATTTTGATTTATCTATAGTGTTTTTTAGTATACCTATTGGCATAGCTTTTTAAATAGTTGCTCTGGGTATTTCATGCTGTATGCATAGCTTACCATAGTCTACCAGTGTTAACGTTTTATCAGTTTAAGTGAAGTGTGGAAAACTCGCCTTTGTTTATATTCCTTTACTCGCCTCCATTTTAATATAATTGTCTTAAATATTTTCTACACATATATTGAGAACCACATCAGACAGTGTTATACTTCTTGCCTCAACCATGAAACATAATTTAGAAAACTCAGGAGGAGAAAGAAATTTATTTAAATTAATCATATATTAATTTTTTATTATATTTTTTCCTGTCTGATCTTCCAAGTTTCCTTATTTTATAGTTTTGTTTGTGTTTAGGGAATTTTCTTTAGTCATTGTTTTAGGTTGGTTTGCTGGCCACATCTTTTAAGTTTCCTTCATCTGAGAATGTCTTGATTTCTCTTTGGTTTTCTGAACGATATTTTCAAAGGGTATATAAATCTGGGTTGACAGTTTCTTTCTCTCTTTCTTTCTTTCTTTCTTTCTTCCTTCCTTCCTTTCCTTCTTCTTTTCCTTCCTTCCTTCCCTCCCTCCCTTCCTTCATTCCTTCCTTCCTTTCCTTCTTCTTTTCCTTCCTTCCTTCCCTTCCTCCCTCCCTCCCTCCTTCCTTCGTTCCGTCCCTCCCTCCCTCCTTTCTTTTCTTCTTTTCTTTTCTCTTTTCTTTTTCCTTCTTTCTTTCCTTCCTTCCTTCTCTTCTCTTCTTTCTCTTTCTTTCTTTCTCTCTCTCTCTTTGTTTCTCTTTCCTTTCCTTCCCTCCCTCCCTCTCTCCCTCCCTTCCTTCCTTTTTCTTTTTTGTCTTGCTCTGTCACCCAGGCTGGAGTGCAGTGGCACGATCTCTGCTCACTGCAACCTCCGCCTCCCGGGTTCAAGCAATTCTCCTGCCTCAGTCTCCCGAGTAGCTGGGATTACAGGTGCCCGCCACCGCACCCAGCAAATTTTTGTATTTTCAGTAGAGATGGGGTTTCACCATGTTGGCCAGGATGGTCTCGATCTCTTGACCTTGTAATCCATCCTCCTTGGCCTCCCAAAGTGCTGGGATTACAGGTGTGAGTCACCACGCCTGGCCGACAGTTTTTTTTTTTCTTTTAGCATTTGAAAACTATTGTATTACTTCATATTGGCTTCCATGGTTTATGGTGACATACCTGCCATCAATTAAATTGTTTTCTTCTATTGGTAAGGTGTCATTTCTCTCTCACTGCTTTCATAATTTTTTTTGTCTTTAGCTTTCAAAAGTTTGAATATGATATTTCCTGGTGTAGATTTCTTAGGGTTTATCATTTTTGGGGTTTGCTTGGTTTCTGGAATCTGTAGGTTTTTGTCTTTTGCCATATTTGTAAATTTTCAGTGTTTATTCCTTCAAATGTTTTTGGCTTCACTTTTTCTCCTCCCTTACAGAACTCCACTGACATGAATGTTAGATCGTTTGATATAGCCCCAAAATTCCCTGAGACTCTATCTTTTTAACACTATTTTTTTTCCGTTTTTCAGGTCGGATGATGTCTATTATTGTATCATCAAATTCCCTGATGTTTTCCTCTCTGGCCTGCATTCTGCTGTTAAGCCCATCTCCATTGAGGTTTCTATTTTGGTTCTATGGTATGTTTCAGTTCTGAAATTTCCACTGGAGTCTTTCCATCTTCTTCATTGAGTCTTCTCTATTTTTGCATTTGTTGTAAGAGTTTATTGAAGCATTGCTTACTGAAGCATTTTTATGATGACTATTTAAAAATCATTGTCAATAAGTAAAATAGTGTAACTGGATGTTTGTAACACCAAAGATACATGCTTGAGGGGATGGACACCCCATTCTCCATGTGATTATTACACATTGCATGCCTGTGTCAAATCATCTCATGTACCCCATAAATATATACATCTATGTACCCAGAAAAATAACAAATAAAAAGTTAAAAACCCTTGTCAGTTAATTCTAACGTCTTTTTCCTCTTGATGTTTGAATTTGTTGATCATCTTTTTTCCTGTAAGTTGAGATTTTATGATCCTTGGTATAAAGAGCAATTGTTGATTGAAACCTGGACATTGGGGCATTATGTTATGAGATTCAGGATACTGTTTAATCTTATGTTCTAGCAGGTCTCCTCTGACACTGTTTTGGCAGGGGAAGGGGGACACTGCTTCATTCCTACCAGGTGGGAGTAGAAATACAGGTTCTCTCCACTTTGCCCCTATTGACACCCAAGGGGAGAGCCCCCCTCATCACTGCTGGGAGGGAGGATTTTAGACTCCTTACCTGGCCTCTGCTGATACCACCCTGGCCAGGAGGGGCAGGAATATCTTGTTATTGCTCCCATGCAGCTTCCACTGACACTGCATGGGGGTGGCCTTGGTACTGCTGGAGGAGGGAAAGAGTTCTGACTGTCCAGTAGGACTCTTGTGACACTAACCCCAGAGGAGAAAAGAAGAGCCTCACTGCAGCCTGTAGAGTTAAGTCCAGGCTTCCCGTGTGGTCTCCACTGATACCATGATGGTGGGACAGGGAGTGCTTCCATGTCTCATAGTAGGAATGAAAGTCCTGGATCTCTCACTTAGCCTTCCCTGATTCCACCCCAGTGGTGAAGTTTGAGTGCCTTATTACAGCCTGGGAAGGATAGAAGTCTGGACTCCCCACCTGGCCTTTCCTTGTGTGGATATGGGTGGGTGAAATGATATTTTCTGTGGTGTTTGGCTGAGTTGAGTGGTTATTGTCTAAAGGTTTTCCGCCTTTCTAGGCTGCCTCTTTTCTGGTTCTTTAAGCAGAGCAAGCTCTTTCTGTTTGTTTGTTTGTTTGTTTTGTCTGCACCTGTTGGTGTTTCTGGTTGTTGGTTTCTCCAGCTCCCCCTCTGGGATATATGAGATAAAAAGCTAATCCAGGGAGCTCACCACAGTGTCACTCCTGGAGTCTCAACATCTTTAGGTGGTTTGGCTTCTTCTTCTACCTTTCAGAGTCCTCTTATGTTTATTTGATATGTAATTTCCAGGGTTTTTAGGAGGAGGAATATGGAAATATACATCATTCTGGAAGTTCTCTACCTTGTTTTTTAAATATATGAGAATAATTATTCTTATAACCTAAATGTCCAATAACAGATCAATGTACCTTATGGTACATTATGCAACCAGTAAAATGATGGCTACAGGCTGGGTGCAGTGGCTCACACCTGTAATCCCAGCACTTTGGGAGGCTGAAGCTGGTGGATCACAAGGTCAAGAGATTGAGACCATCCTGGCTAACACGGTGAAACCCTGTCTCTACTAAAAAAAAAAAAAAATTAGCCTGGTGTGGTGGCAGACACCTGTAGTCCCAGCTACTTGGGAGGCTGAGGCAGGAGAATCGCTTGAACCCAGGAGGCAGAGGTTGCAGTGAGCCCAGATAGTGTGACTACACTCCAGCCTGGGTGACACAGCAAGACTCTGTCTCAAAAAAAAAATAAAAAATAAAAAAAGTGATGGCTACAATACAATCTTATGTTTTTATTAGAATTAAAAATGCTTAGATGACATAAATGAAAGAAAGTTTACACAAGTGTGTGCATATGTTAGTATGATTATAGCTGTGTGGAAAAATCTATTATAAGAAAGAAAACTGGAAGAAAGTACCCCAAAATATTGACTATGGCTGTTTGGAAGATGAAATCATAAGTGACCTTTTCCCTTTTAATGAGCCAAATTTAAAAAAAGAGAATCTAGTACTTTTATAATCAAAAAATACATTTTATCATATTTTATTCCTAATATTTTTCCTCAGAAAGATACACACAACTATTTTCTAAGATATATGACATTTCTCATGGGTTCATTAATTTATTTGTATTTGAGGAGTTAAAAAATATTTTCAGCCTGGGTTTATGTACATTGAAACTATGGTTATGGGTTTAGATGATTTCCTTGCCATAAAATGAATATTCTATCAACAGTAATCAGCCATAGAGCTATATTTACCACGCTAAAGGAATAAAACACGTTTTATTTGGAGATGAGCAAGAATGCTTTATGGGCTTCCAGTATACCACAAATAAGCCGGAAGGAGAGGAAATAGTAAAGCAGAAAGACTGAGGATACCTGGAGGGCAATTCCAGGATATGAGAGCCTCCTGGATTTGTGCTTCCGGTTTGGATGTCCCTGGTTGAAGCCCCATCTCCTTTCTAGGATGCTGCTGGCTTTGATTCCTCTACCTGCTGTCCTTAACATTCACAAGCAGCAGTTTTCAACAGTGCAGATGACATAGGCTGAGCATGGCTCACAAGTGTTGCTCGAGGTGCATGTGGTCGAACATGGGCTACAGGAAAGCCTGGGGAAAAATCGATTTTCAACCAAGATTAACAAGGGAATGTTGATAAAATGGCAACTCAGAAAAACCGTGTCAAAATTTGCCCTACAAATTATGTTCTGAAAAAAACTCTGCACAATAGCATTGACTGAAGCCTGTTTCTTCTCTGCACCCAGAATTGCCACTTCATGTTCACTGTAGCAGTGGCAGTTGAATAGTATTTTATATTTTTTCTTGATTTTGCAAATGTTATCTTAGGCCTATTCCTGATTTTCCTTTAGTGGAAAACAGGAACAAAGGGAGATGCCAGCATGAAATGTTACACTAATAATTAATCTGCCTTTAGAATATTTTAAAAATATCTCTAGTGTCATGTTCTTAACCTCAGCCACTTTTCAGCACTTTTTTAAGAAGATCCCTAAACACACTGGGGAGGTCTGAACTTGTCCAGACTTTGGGGAAACAGGATTCTTTTACATCAGCCTCTTTGTGACTCTGGGGGATTTCATGAGTAACTGTGGAACTTGCCTGCTGTCCTCGCTGTCCAGCAGGCCCCAGTACGTGTTGATCTCACCCTCCAGCCGGGCCTTCACGTCCAGGAGCACCTGGTACTCCTGGTTCTGTCGCTCCAGGTCGCAGCGGATCTCGGCCAGCTGGTTCTCCAGGTTATCGATCAGACACTGAATTTGGGCCAGCTGGGAGCTGTACTGGGCCTCGGTTTCTGCCACGGTGCATTCCAGAGATTCTGTCTGCGGGAGGAAACATTGTCCAAAGGACCATGAAGTGCAGTCTCTCGGGCCAGAGTGCCTACTTTCAAATTCCTGCTTACCCTTTTCTAGCTATGTGACCACTGGCAAATTATTTAGCTTCTGTGAGTCTCAGTTTTATTCTCTGTATAGTGGAGAATACAAAGTATCTGTTTCATTAGACGGTTGTGAAGATTAAGAGTTAATATGCGGGCTGGGCGCGGTGGCTCAGGCCTGTAATCCCAGCACTTTGGGAGGCCGAGGCGGGCGGATCACAAGGTCAGAAGATCGAGACCATCCTGGCTAACACGGTGAAACCCCGTCTCTACTAAAAATATAAAAAATTAGCTGGGTACGGTGGTGGACGCCTGTAGTCCCAGCTACTCAGGAGAATGGTGTGAACCCGGGAGGCAAAGCTTGCAGTAAGTCAAGATCATGCCATTGCACTCCAGCCTGGGCGACAGAGGGAGACTCCGTCCAAAAAAAAAAAAAAAGAGTTAATGTGCGTAAAGCATTTAGAACAGTGCCAGCCATACTGCCACTGTTCTACGTGTCAACTATCACTACCACCACTATGACTACAGCAATACATGACATATTTGTGAAGCTTAAGGACTATCCACAACATATGAGAGGAAAGATTGAGTTTGGGCTCTTGGCAGGGAGGGGTAGTATAGTGCTATTAAGAGAAGAGGCTCTGGATACCAGAGGCTGGGACTGGCATATGTGTGGTAAGGGGATGAAGAGAGGTTGGTTAATGGGTGCAAACATACAGTTAGACAGAAAGAATATGTTTTCATGTTGGACAGCAGAGAAGTGTGACTACAGTTAACAACAATACACTGTGCATTTCAAAATAGCTAGATGGGAGGACTTGAAATGCTCCCAACACATAGAAATGATAAATACTTGAGGTGATGGATGCTCTAAATATCCTGACTTGATCATTACACATTCTATGCATGTAACAAAATATCACATCTACGTAAAAAAAATTTACGCATATTATATATCAATAAAAATAAATTTAAAAAGAGAGAGAGAAGAGACTCTGGGATTCAACTGGCTGAACTCAGCTTCCAAGTTTGCCTCTTAGAATTGCATCCTTTGCAAGTTACTTAATCTGAGTCTCAGTTTTCCTTATCTGTGTCATGGGATAAAGGTATCTATCCGGTAAAGTTACTGTGAGCCTTAAATCAGCATAGTGCCTCTCACAGGATGAATGCTCAGCTATTGTTCTTCTAGGTGTTCTCCGCAGGGCCTAATGACATGCACACAGTGGTGCTTGACCAGAACTGGTTCATGTCATCTTGAACGCATGGTGTTCCTGTTGCTTGAGTGGGGGGTGGTGCAGTGAAGGATAAGGTTGAAGTGTAGATCCTGGGAAACTGTAGGATGAAATGTTTGAAAATGATTCTTTGTTTTAGATATAACAGTGAGCCTGGAAAACTGGCCTGAATCAAATGAGAATTAAAACCTGCCAGAATGCTTAAGCGACCATGGCCCGGAGGTTTCTCTCCAGCTCTGCTTCTCCCTCCCTGTCTCTGGAGGCTGCTGCAGCATCAGACTCAAGCCCAGGAGTGAAGGTAAGGCATCTTAGAGGACAAGCTGTGGACCTGTCACTTCTGCTTCTATTAATAGCTGGGTAAACGGCAGTACTCGGGAAAGGCAAGGAAATGTGATCCTCGGATATGGAAGAGGGCTTAACATCTCAGGGCCTGACTTATCAGTGACACAACGGACACTGCCTTTGCCTCACGCACCAGGCTTTGCTGTGCTTGGAGCTCAATTTCCAGAGCACTGGCTGTGCGTTTCAGTTCCAAGATCTCCATCTGGCAGCCCTGCAGCTGCTCCGCGCTGGACAGTTGCTGCTGATTCAGCTCTTCTGTCTGAAACACAGACACCATTAGAGAATTCAAAAAAGGCAGAAGTCTGTAAGCCTGACATTTTTTCAATCTGGGTACTGACCTGAACAGCCAACCATTCTTCAGCTTCTCTGCGATTGTTGGCAAGCACCGTTTCACACTGACAGCGCATCTCATCCAGGACCCTGTTGAGGTCAAGGGTGGGGGCAGTGTCCAGCTCCACACTGAGGCGGTCGCCAAGCTGTTCACGAAGCAAGTTGACTTCCTGAAAGTGGGATGGTGTAAAGAATGTCACAGAATGGTGGGGAAAAATCCATTTGACATCCAATGGCATTCTACTTCTGTTTTTTGGAGCAGTGGGTAAAAGTGTGAGATTTTGATTCAGATTGCCTGGGCTGAATCTCTTTTCACCACTTAGAAGGGCCTCAGTTTCTTCGTCTGTAAAATGGACATAATAATTGGACATTTTTCCAGAAAGTTATTGTGAGATCTAGAAGAGTCAATCTACACATAATTAACTTATAAAAGTTAATTATGACACATAGTAAGGTGTCAATAAATGTTAGCTATGATTGTCATCAACAAACGTTCAAAGAGCAAATGTACTTTGTTACATCATTCAGCTTTTCATTTTCTAGCTTTATCAATATATCAGTGGCTGTATATTTTATGATTTTTAGAAGTTTATAAATGCGGAATATTTAAAAACACTGGTCCAGATAGTGCACAGTCTTTATCCCTTTTTTGAAATGGACTTCACAGTCTGTTCCTCAGCCTGATTTTCATACCCTGTGGACTGGAGCTAGGGGTGGCATAAAGCCTCCAAAGGAAGCCATTTGTGAAGTTACCTCCTCCACAAAGGCAAGGGCAGGAGAAGAGTTTGATTCCTTCCTCTGGCGCTGTCTAGGGGTTATTTCACACCTTAAATCAGAGACACACTGGAATGATCAGGTTGAATAGTAATAATGCCTCGAGTAGTTTTTGTTTGTTTGTTTGTTTGTTTGTTTTTTGAGATGGAGTCTCGCCCTGTCACCCAGGCTGGAGTGCAGTGGTAAGATCTCGGCTCACTGCAACCTCCGCCTCCTGAGTTCAAGTGATTCTCCTGCCTCAGCCTCCCGAGTAGCTAGGACTACAGGCGCCTGCCACCATGCCCAGCTAATTTTTGTATTTTTAGTAGAGATGAGGTTTCATCATATTGGTCAGGCTGGTCTCGAACTCCTGACCTTGTGATCCTCCTGCCTCAGCCTCCCAAAGTGCTTGGATTACAGGTGTGAGCCACCATGCCTGGCCCTGCCTCAAGTAGTTTTATTCCAGCTTAAACAACATCTGCCCAAATTCGATTTACAAACATCAACAGATCATCTGTCAATGTAAGTACGTTACTCTCGGAGTCCTTCAGCGGAGTTGCCACTTTCCTTACCTCTTCATGGTTTTTCTTAAGGCAAAGGAGATCTTCCTTCAGAGACTCCACATGGGCCTCCAGATCAGATTTGCACAGGGTCAGTTCCTCCAGGATCCCATGCAGGCTGCTGATGTCAGCCTCTAACAGCTGGCGAAGGGACAGTTCACTCTCGTACCTTTCACAGCAAAAGAGAAATCCAACGCTTACTTTGCTGAACGCTGTGCAAAGTGTGGGGATACATGGAGGATCGACACACGGACTTCAGGAAGCCATGTGCATAATTTCTCTTAATTCCTAAGTAATGATAAATTCAAGCTTTTAAAACATTCTTAACTTTAAAATATTATATAGAGAATATTTGTGTGTGTGTGTGTGTGTGAGAGAGAGAGATTGAGAGAGAGAGAGCCATAAGTTATTTTCAAATTAAAATTAAAGCCGGGCGTGGTGGCTCATGCCTGTAATCCCAGCACTTTGGGAGGCCAAGGCGGGCAGATCACCTGAGGTCAGGAGTTCGAGACCAACCTGGCCCACATGGTGAAACCCTGTCTCTACTAAAAATACAAAAATTAGCTAGGTGTGGCGGTGCACGCCTGCCTGTAATCCCGGCTACTCAGGAGGCTGAGGCAGGAGAACCACTTGAACCCAGGAGGCAGAGGTTGCAGTGAGCTGAGATAGCACCATTGAGCTCTAGCCTGGGTGACAAGAGTGAAACTCCATCTCAAAATAAATAAATAAAATAAAATTAAATTAAACTTACTTTGACTTAAAGTCATCAGTGGCCAGTTTGCAGTTGTCAAGCTGTACAGCAAGTCTAGAATTCTCTGCTTTCGTGCATAAGATCTGGGAAGCAAGTCATTATGTGATAAATGATTCTTTGAGAGAAACCTAAGTAAACTTCTATCCAACAGCTATGCCATTAGCTATCTTTTGAAAGTCTTTATAAGAAAGTATAAAATCACCCTCAGCCTGCTTTTTTTTATTAACCTTGTCACTTCATGAAGAAAAAAAGCAGAGCCAATTTAGAAACAAAATAATGAAATAAAAAGGTTTAGTTTTTTAATAACATAAGACATTTTGCAACATTCTCAGGCAGTTGAACACCATTAATGTTTTCTCCATCAGTAGTTTGTATTATGAGTATATCCTCTCCCATAATAATAGAAATTCATGGAGAGAAGAAAATGATTACTAGGTAGTTAAAAAGATGGCATTTCATGATCTGTGTTCAGATAATGTAAATGTTCAGTGTCACGTACAAAAGCGATTTTGGATATAATACAGTTTTTCTGCATTCTATAGATGATGAAGGAAAAGTCTACAGGCAAGTTACTTTATTATAGTCACTCAGTAATCAGGGGTAGCTCTGGGGCTGATGCTGAGGTTTTCTGACTTTCAGTCCGGTGCTCTCCCCTATGTATCACTAACTCTTAGAATTTTCCTTTCCCTTGGTTTCCTTCTGTAAAACAGCCCCTTCTAGTAGAAAGATAAAGCAAACCATAGATCAGGAAGGTGGAGCACTAGGGCAACAGGACACAGACCTTTTGTTGGAGATCTTCAATGGTGTTGAAGTAACGCTGATAATCCGGGCACACCATTGGGATATCCTGTTCACATTGTTCTTGGATCCTGGATTCCAGCTCTGCGTTGGTCTCCTCCAGGCTGCGCACCTTCTCCAGATAGCTGGCGAGTCTGTCATTCAGGAACTGCATCGTCTCCTTCTCATTGCTAGTGAACACCCCATCCTCACACCAGGCACAGTTCCCCACCAAGCAGGGACTATTACAACTCCCAGTAAAGTAGCATGGCAGGAGGCAACCAGTCAGCCCGCGAGACCTGGATAGGAAGCTTGGAGTCTGACATCGGGATGTAGCACAGGTACCGGGGAGACAAGCTGTTTCCACGGAGCAGCTTGAGGCAGGTGCACAACCGGAAGCCGTGCCACAGGACTCAGGAGAGCAGTGTGTGGAGGAGCAGTCAGAAGTCATCCTTCCAGAAGCAAAGACAGAGACTGGCTGCAAAACTTCAGTTGCCTTGACTCCAAAACTCTCCTCTCCTGAGAGTTTTATAACCCCCCAAAATGGGTGTTTACAGACTGCACCGGATGTTTTCTTTATCACTGATGGTGCCAGTTTTCGTACAAACATCTCATTAGAGTTGTTTATTTACTGAGGAAGAGTTTTATGCCTCATAAAATAGGGATAACTTTAGGTTACCAAAGCAGGACCCACACCATTTCCATGTGCAAGACAAAACACTTATTTCAGAAAATCGTCATAGGAAGCATTGTGCTTTTGACAGAATAATAAAAGAAAGAGAAAATTTGGCCAATGAATAATTATAGATACAACTCATTACAAATCAGGAAAATAATATGTCCACAGATTTTGATTCTGTGGATTGATTGCTTGTGTCCCCTTTTAAAATTAGTATTACAGCTCACAAAATGACAATTATTTGTTTGTGCCACCACCATAAAAATGGTCAGTGTGATTAGTAATCTTTCAATGCTTTTTGTGATCTCAGAGCATGTGCTGATAAAGACTGGAGGAGTGAGCTATATATTGGGTTTAAAGTGTGTGTGTGTGTGCAAACCATGTCTACCTGCGTACAAATGGAAAAGTCACTTTACATAACTGATAGGAATAACTTGTTTTTCTGCAGGCTAAAATATAAATTGGTTAGAGCTGGAATTATGATCTTTGATTTCCTGAAACTTGCCTTCTCCACATTTCTCATTGCTTATTGTTAGATAAGTTATACTATTTTACCTGTATTCCTAATAAGAGTGAAATATAAATTCTAAGTTATAACCTTTTAGTCCCTTGGGAATTCCTTAATGATTATACTTCAGAGTAGGGGCAAGGAACCCACAGGAATCTTTTCTTCTGAGATGTAGAGCCTGTTTTCTCCTATTTATTTATTTATGAAGGCCTGAATTTCATGAAAATTGAAAATACTGGAACTTGGAAAATAAAATTCTATTTAGGTTCCAAATCAGTAATTCCACTGGATGAAATCTCTGGTGCCAAATCTGACAGACAGGAACTTGAGATACGTAATTTTTTTGAATTATCTCTTGGATTTCACCTCCATTGTGAAGGATAATCTATTTCACTTTGCTTGGTTTTAGTCGTTACATTTATTTCATTTTCAAAGGTGCATAGAGAAAATTGTCTCTAGAATTTTTAAGAACATTATAGGAAAAAAACAGATTAATCTGAAAAAGTTAAAAAATTTTTGATCCAGAATAAACTTATTTTTTCTCCTAATCTTGAGTGCTACTTCCTAGGTACCTGATAGTAGAAACCAAACCAAACCAAACCAGAAGAACATATGTAAGTGAGTTAAAATAGTCTCTTAGGATTTATTACTCCCTGGGCAGAGCTGGGTTTGAATTTAGTGATTCTCTTTACACATCAACACTTATGCAAAAAGTTCTTAGAGTGTCTCATGGTATATTGACGCTGCTCTGCAACAAATATGAGTTCAAGGATTCAAAAACACTTCTGAAAAATTACAAATCTCTGAAAGAAAATTATCTTTTCACAGTAACCTAATGAGTCAAAAGAAAAATATCTGTGAAGAAAACCCATGTTTTGGTTGTCCATCACAGGCTCCAGTTAGCTAAAATGCAGTCATGTAAGTGCAGGTAAAATAAGAAATATTTCCTTCTGTCTGGAACTAATTTCTAATTGTAAATTATTTGTTACTGGTTATTGTCCTGCAGGTAGGACTATTTATTTTGGTCTTGATTAATTAGGTAGTGTTGTATAATGATCTATAGCTATAGTCTCCATCGTAGAATATAGAAATCACCCAGAATTCATTTCTGTGGAGTCCTCCTTAGGGAAAAGAAGTCAGGCTGGCAGGACCAGAGGAAAGCAAGTTAGTGGGTGCAGCGCACCAGTATGGCACATGTATACATATATAACTAACCTGCACAATGTGATAAATAAATAAAAAAAACCAAAAAACAAAAAACAAAGAAAGAAAGCAGGTAATGTATAAGACTCACCTTCTTCATGGTCCAGGACACATAGCCCTCCTGCACAATATTCCTGCACCCAGCTATCACCAGACCTTCAGCTGATAGAAAAATGTAACTTAGCTCACTGCAACCTTAGTGTTATCAGTACCACACAAACCCTCTTCAGCACACAGTACAAGCACCATCCTGTAAAATCTCCAGCACGCCTTTGTCTCCTTGCAGACAGCCCCTTCTCTGCTGTGCTGCCCATTGCTTCCTTGCAACGTATTTTCATACGTTCTCTAATATATCTGCCTTTCTTTACCTACAACTATCTTGATAAATTCTTCTTACCCCCATGCCACCAGCCCCAGATAGTTGCTAATCACCCGTGACAATTTCTATAGCATATCATCACCAGAAGAAAGGAACATTGGGAATAGAGAAAAAGAAATAGACATCATGAAAGGCCATGATAAAAAAAAAAACCGACAACAACACGGTAGTTTATTTTGCATAATACTATGCTCTTACCTTACAACATCCACCTAGGCTGCCAGAATCATTTTCCTAAAATACAAACCTGCTTTTTGTCGCCTTCCACTTATGGAATGCAAACTTTCTACCTTGGCAAATATGACCTTCCCTAACCTGGTGCCAATTTACCTTTCTGGGCTCACTTCCTGATGTTCTGTCTCACAAACCCTAAGCTCCAGCCATCCTTCAAGCTTCGTAGGTACTATTTTCTTGGTCAAATGCTCTTCTGCTATTCGTTTCCTGGATGAACTCACATGTCAAGACTCAGCTGAAACGTCGTTCAACTGCCTCATGTGGAGATGTGGCTCCTCCCAGAGCACTTTGCACGCATCTCTGCTATAGCAGTTGTCTTGTTGCTTTTAACATTTGTGCGACAGGTTATAAGAGTTTACATGAGGCCTTAAGAAATTTGGCTCAGGGCCAGAGCTAGTATCCACGTGCAGCAACTTGGTTGATTTTCACTGTTTTGGGCAACAACCTAAATAACTTTTAACAGTGCCTGGGAATGTTCAAGGGTCAGCTCGGGTTCAAGCTGCAGGGGAAACACACAGCTGGCTGGGCCACAGGGTGGTCAAGGTAATCTGTTTCCCAAGGCAAAGAAGGAAGTGGAGGGATGATCTGGGTGACCCTACAACATGATCAATCATATTGAATAACTTGGTCACTCTACATTATCCTTTATGTAAATTGTTTTATTCAGTTAGTTGATAGGATTAGCAAATGGATTTCCACCCCCATCTATGTTCTTGAGAAATATTTCCTGTAAATTTCTTTTCTTCTAATGATCTTGTTAGGTTTTGGTATCAAGTTACATACTGGGTTCACAATATGACTTAGCTCTGCGTCCCCACCCAAACTTCATCTCAAATTATAAACCCCAAATCCCCACGTGTTAGGGGAGGGACCTGGATGATTGGATCATGGGGGCAGTTTCCCGTATACTGTTCTTGTGATAGTGAGTTCGTTCTCAGGAAATCTAATGGTTTTGTAAGTGTGTGACAGTTCCTCCTTCCCACGCTCTCTCTCACCTGCCCCCATGTAAGAAGTGCCTGCTTCCCCTTCCACCATTATTGTAAGTTTCCTGAGGCCTCCCCAGCCATGTGGAACTGGGACTCAATTACACCTCCTTCCTTTATAAATTATCCAGTCTCAGATATTTCTTTATAACAGTGTGAGAATGGAGTAATACTGTTCATAAATTAAATTGGGAAATGTTTCCTCTTTATTTCATGAAATTCTGTAAGATTAGTGTTATTTATTCCTTAAATGTTTGATGGAGTCCAGTGAGGCCACCTCTTCCAGGAGTCTCCCATGTGAAAAAGTTGTGTTTTGTTTTTAACTAGGAAAAAAAATGTCTGGGCGCGGTGGCTCAAGCCTGTAATCCCAGCACTTTGGGAGGCCCAGGCAGGCAGATCACTTAAGGGCAGGAGGTTGAGACCAGCCTGGCTAATATGCTGAAGGCTTGTCTCTACTAAAAATACAAAAATTAGTTGGGCATAGTGGCGAACACCTGTAGTCCTAGCTTTTCGGGAGGCTGAGGCATGAGAATTGCTGAAACCTGGAAGGCAGATGTTGCGGTGAGCCGAGATCACACCATTGCACTCCAGCTTGGGTGAGAGTGAGACTCCATTTCAAACACACACACACACACACACACACACACACACACACACACACACATGCACACACACACGCAAATATATGTATATTTGCTGACCTCTACATCAAATTGCTTACCTCTACTTATAGAAACCTCACAATGCTATTCAGTTGTTCTATTTCATTTTGTGTGAAAGTTGCATTTTTCAAGGAGTTTGTTCACTTCACCTAAGTTGCAAAAATACTGAAATAAAGTTGTTCATAATAATCCTTATCATGAATTTTAGTATCTGCAGTGTCTATAAATTCTCACTATTTAATTCCAGATATTGGTAATTTGTGTTTTATCTCATGCTTCCCCCATCAATCTGGCTTGATGTTCATCAGATTAATACTAATGTATTGTTTATTTCAAGGTTGCTGAAAGAGTAGATTTTTGATGTTCTCACCATAAAACAATGATCAGGTGCTTAGGTGATGGATATGTTACTTAGCTTGATTTATCTTTCCACAATGCATACATAAATCAAAACACCACATTGTACCCCACAAATATACATATACACAATTATTATTTGCCAACTAAAAAATAACTAAATAGAAGTACTTTATGAATCCTTTCAAAGAATCAAATTTTAGCTTCATTAATTTCCTCGTTTTCTATTCATTGATTTCTGATATTATGTTTATTATTTATTTCTTTCTCCTTACTTTGAATTTTAATTGTTCTTTTTCTATTTAGTTGAAATGAAAACTTAAGTGATTGATGAAGAGATAAATGAAGGTGATAAAGATGTAAATCTTATTTTCTAATATAATCATTTGCTGTATATTTTCTACTAATCCAATGCTGTATGTATCCCATAAATTTTTAAAATCTTTTGTTTTCATTATCATTCAGCTCATAATATTTCTTAAGCTGTATTGGTATTTATTATTTGATCCATAGGTTATTAGAACTGTGTTGTTTGATTTTCAAATATTTGGTGATTTTTCTAAGTATCTGATTGATTTCTCATTTAATTCCATTGTGGTCAGATAACATATTTTGTTAGATTTTGGAATTTATGGAGACAAATTTAATGGCCCAGAATATAGTCTATTTTGGTGAGAGTTCCTTATGCATTTGAAAAGAATGTATATTCTGCAATTGTAGGGGGTAACATTCTGTAAATGTAACTGAGTAAAATTGTTTGATACTATTATTCAAATCTTCTTTCTCCTTGGTAATTTTCTTATCTGTTTGTTCTCTCAGATCCTGACAGGGGATATTAAAATCACCAAATGTGATTTTGGATTCATCTATTTCTCTCTTGACTTCTGTGATTTTTTGCCTTATTTATTTTGAAGCTCTGTTATTGGGTCATATTTTTAAGGATTATAGGACCACCTGATGAATTTTCCCTTTTTCATTATGAAATATCACCTTAAAATTATCTAATATTTAAGTGACCAAACTTCTTTCTTATCATTACTATTTGCGTGGTATGTCTTTTTTTCAGACTACATAATTCAATTTTCTTGTGCTTTTATATTTAAAGTGAATCACTTTAAAACAGCATAGTGCTGGGTTTTCTTTTTAAATCCAATCTGACATCCTCTGACTTTTTATTGGAGTGCTTACTTTATATTTAATGTAATTATTGATATGGTTGGTTTAAAATCTACCATCTTGCTATTTGTTTTTTATTTCCATGTGTTTTTTGCTTCCTTTCCCTTTTATTTCTCATCTTATTTTGGGCCAATCAAACATTCTACTTTATTTTCTATACTAGCTTTATAAGTATATATCTTTTAATGGTTTTTCTAAAGGGTGGGGTAGTTCTCTCAGGATTATGATATGCATCTTTACATTTTTGTACTCCACTTGGAATTAATACTGTAGCACTTTATGTAAAATACGAGAACCTTACCACAGTAGGGTTCTTTTTGCCCCTTTCTGTTCTTTGTGCTATTATTGTCAAATTGCTTACTTCTACATATAGAAACCCTACAATGCCATTGCTTTTGCTTTAAATCATTGTCTTTTAGAATATCGAGAAAAGGAAAAAGAGAAAGTCTCATATTTTATCCATGTATTTACCATTTTCAGTGTTTTTTTCCTTCCTGAAGGTCTGAGACTTCATTTTGTATAATTACTCTTAAAATTTTTTTATTGTGGCAAAATACAAGTAACATAAAATTTACTATTTTAACTATTTTTAAGTGTACAATCCAGTGGTATTAAGTACATTCAAATGTTGTGTGGGCATCACCACCGTCCTTCTCCATAACTCTTTTCACCTTTTAAAACTGAAACTCTGTTCCCTTTAAACAACTGCCCATGAAGCCCGCCCTTGTGTCCTGGCAACCATTGTTCTGCTTTTCATCTCTATGATTTTTTTACTACTTTTAACTACCTCATATAAGTGAAAGCATATAAGTGAATAGTATCTTTTTGTGCTGGCTTACTTCACTTAGCACAACATCTTCAAGGTTAATTCATGTTGTGGCATGTGTCAGAAAGTCCTTCCCTTTTAGGGCTGAATAATATTCCATTGTATGGATGTACCATATTTTGATTATCCATCCGTCTATCAATGAGCACTTGTTTGTTTTCATATTTTAGCTATTGCAATTATTGCTGCTATGAACGCAAGTATACAAATGTCTTTTAGCGACCCTGCTTTCAATTCTTTTGGGTATATACCCAGAAGTGGAAGCGCAAGATCATAAGGCAATTCTACATTTAATTTTTTGAGGAAGTGCTATATTGTTTTTCACAGTCACTGTACAATTTTACCTTCCTACCAGCAATGCTTGAGGGTTCCAATTTCTCTCTCTCTCTCTCTCTATATATATATAATGTATATATTATATATTTTACATATATATGTGTGTATATATATATAAGGGGTTTTGTTTTGTTTTTTGTTTTTTGAGACGGAATCTTGCTCTGTCACCCAGGCTGTAGTGCAGTGGTGCCATCTTGGCCCAGTGCAGCCTCTGCCTCCTGGGTTCAAGTGATTCTCTTGCTTCAGCCTCCCAAGTAGCTGGGATTACAGGAGCCCACCACCACGCCCAGCTAATTTTTGTATTTTTAGTAGAGACGGGATTTCACCATGTTGGCTGGGCTGGTCTCAAATTCCTGACCTCAAGTGATCCACCTGCCTTGGCCTCCCAAAGTGCTGGGATTATAGGCATAAGCCACCACACCTGGCTGTTTTGTTTTTTGTATTTATTTATTTATTTATTTATTTATTTTATGGCAGCCATCCTAATGGGTGGGAGGTAGTATCTCATTGTAGTTTTGATTTGCACTTTGCTAATGATTAGTGAGTGATGCTGAGTACCTTTGCCTGTGCTGATTGGCTATTTGTATATCTTCTTTGAAGAAAGTCTATTCAAGTTCTCTGTCCATTTCTGAACTGGTTTGTTTGTTTTTTGTCTTTGAGGTAAAATTACTCTTAAACCAAAAGGACTTCCTTATTGTTTCTTATAGTGTAGATCTTCAGGCACTTAAAAAAGAAGTCAGCTTTATTCACCTAAAAGTGTTTTTATTTTTTCTTTAATTTTGAAGGTTGTTTTTGCAGACTGTAGTGTTCACAATTTTTTTTCCTTTAGGACCTTTTAAATGAGGTTTGATTTTCCTCTGACATCCATTTTACCTAAAAAGAAGTCAGACATCCATTTTTTCTTTGCTGCCTTCTATTTGATTTGTTTTTTTTTCTTAATTGGTATTCAGCAGTTTGACTATGATATGTGTAGGTGGTGTGTGTGTGTGTGTGTGTATTGCAATTATCCTGCTAAGTGTTTATTGAGACTCTTGAATATATGGGTTAATAAAATGTCACCAAATTTCGAAAATTTTTGCTTTTATTCCCTCCCAAATTTTTATTTCCTATTCTTTAACTCCTCTCATTCTGAGACTCCAATTTCATCCTCATTTCACCACTTGGTACTTTCCCACAGGCTTCTTAGTTTCTTCAATTTCTTTTTCAATCCTTTTTTCTACCCTGGCTAGGCTGGAACCTCAAAGTCTGTTAATAGTGAATGACCTCTGGTATCTCCACTCAGCTTCTAATCACCCAGCAGCCACTCTTTGCTATGCCTGATGGAATTTCAGCCAGCGTATTTGCAACTGTGCCTTCTGTAAGTACTTGAGAACTTTTACACAGTCTTCTTTACTTACCTACGTATATCTTCTTCCTCTCCAGAATAACTTTCCAAACCCCATTTAGATATAGCTACTCGTGTTGCAAACATGACCTGTGTAGAGCAAGAAGAACAGAGTATTTCCATCTTGAACTCTCTTCTCCTTCTCGGCTCCTAGGCTCAATTGGTGACATAACTCCACTGTCTAGTCTTTCTTTGATATTTTCTTTTCCTCCATATCCCTTTGATGACTAGCTGCAGTCAATTCCTCTTTGACTATGTCTTTCCCACTTTACCCCCATGACAACAGTCTTCATTGTTCTCAATTTTATGATCCCACAGCACTTTACTAATACTGCTGGTAGAACACATCTTTTTTTATTATAACACAGCAACTGGCATTCGATAATTATTAACCGTAGGAAGAAACAAATGGATGTTGTGTTTGTATTTGCTTCACCTGCCAGATGGTTAGCTTATTTTCAGCAGAGACAATAAAACACAGGACACACAATAGACATTTAATAAATCTTAGTTGAATAAATAATGACATTATTATATTTTTTTCATAAATAGATCATGTCACCTGGATTAGTTTATATATTTTGTCATATTTGGTGTTTGGGTAATGTTCAGTATTTCTCAACCTGTCTGAAACCATTTTTTGGGAGGACAAGTCAGGAAAAGTCTACTTTCAAATATGCCGATGTACTAGACCATCTTACATGCAAGGATGTTTAATTTTCTTAAAACAGCAAGAACAGCAAAATTAAGAAATTTTTGTCCATACTGCCACCATTTTCAGTTTCACTAATGTTTCCAGTTTTTCTTTAAATGCCAATGTTCAGAGTTAAGAAACGCATTTAATGAATGAACAGAAATAAACAGAAGTAATTGTAGACACTTGTGCTATGCCAGAGATGTAAAATTTATTAGGATAATCATGAAGAACTTCCTTAATTTTCAGAAAGATACCACCCAAGACTGAAAACAGAATTCCCAAACCACCCACAGAAAGAGACACTTTAATATGAAGGAATCGAACAGCTTCAGGAAGCTATAGGCATCCACTGATTCAAACTGCAGTTGGTTATAGCTGAATGGTCATTGAAAGTTTCTTGGTCTCTTTTTTTTTGCAGGGGGTGATTGTGGTAGTACCATCCTTGTTCCAATTTCTAAAGCAGAGTACATTAGTTGTAGGTACTGAGATAGGTGAATGCTAAAGCTTCTATGTTGACTTTTTCAATCTCAGGCACTGAGCAAAGTAGCCATCCATTAGCAGCCTCTTGGGAGGCAGGGCTCACAGCAGGGCTGAGTGAAGGTGGTGAGGTTGAGGGTCTCCAGGCCTGGAGTTGGCTGGCAGGAGTTGAGCAGGAAGCAGGTGGGCACGCAGGGCTGAGGAATGTGGCAGGGTGGGGGACAGTTGTCACAGCAGGTGGGCTCCAGTAACCAAACTGTGTGTGGGCAGGTGCTGGGCAGGCAGACTCCACAGCGGCAGGATTTGTCAGAGGAGCAGATGGTGGTGGCAGGCCCGGTGGGGACACTGCAGCCTCGAGAGGCACAGCAATCCATGGCTATTAGAGTCTGTGGTATTTATGGGTTTGATTGAAAAGAAGGATAAGGCTTCTGAGGTGTGAATATCTCTCCTTTCTCTGGGGCTCTTATGTACCCTCTCCACTGGGAGTTGGTCCAGCCAAGAGGCTTCTTTCCTGGTTCTTGTTTATGTTAGTGTACCCATTATTCTTTAATTTGTTTGACATTTAGACTCTGTAAAGAGTCCCCATTTTCCTAATTAACTTTTATTTGAGTTCGTTGCTAAATCTGAACTGATTACCCTTGCTATTTGTCACTGGAACACAAGCTTTATGAGGTATCACCAAAGCCTTCTGTTATTATATTTTCAACACCAGCCCTGCTGGGGAATATTGCATGACAGTGAGTCTGTAATATGTGGGCCTGCTCTCCAGTGCTGCTTTATTTTTAATCTGTCACTTTATCTATACCAATTTGTCTGATAAAGTATTCTTGTTTTAAAGAGTTGAACTTAATTTTACTTTCTTTTAGCTTTGAGGCTTTTGAAGATCAAAATTACATTAACATGAAGAAATATGCCATTAAGAAATATGGAAAAACTTTAAAAAACGCTTATTATTCTAGTTTTTTACTACAAAATATTTTGTATACATTGTTTATCATTACATTACATTACTGGAATCATATTGTGCATAGGTTCTGAAACTTGCCTTTGTGTGTGTGCATATATATTATATATATATATAATTATCTTATATTTTAAAGGATATTTGATAGTGTTACTTTTAATATTTCTTAGCATTTATTATATAATTGCACTTCTATGTTACTTTAAAATTTTATATTATTATGCATTGAGGTTATTTTCCACTTTTCTCTACAATAATTTTGGCAACAGAGCACCTCTGTATGTAAATCTTTGTGCATATTTTTGATTATTTCAGAAACAGAATTAATTATTTGGTAGAATTATAGGGGCAAATGTTAATTTCCAGTATTTTTAAGGCCTTTCATATCATTGCCATACTGTTTTTCAGAATGGTTCTATTTACCTACTTTTTTTTTCAAATTATCTATTTCCACCAGATGTGTTTGATTAAGAATTCCCATTTCGTATACCTTTGACAGATACTTTATTTTAAAGGTGTTTTCCAATTTCATTGGTGAAAAACACAATTTTATGATTGTTGTGTCTGTATTTCTTTTATAACCAGCTAGGTTGAAATATTCCTTCATATGCATATTGGCCATCTGTCTTCTATTGAGAGTTGGCTTGCTTTGTTTCCTTCACTGCTAATTGTGGGCAAATTGAATTTTTAGCTTCTGTCTATATAGACTAAATAAAATAATAACTTAAGAATACAAAACTAAAATTCAAGTAAAATTATTACCAAAGGAAACTTATGAGCCTGAGCTAGATTAATCTGTTGACATTTGATTTCATTCTCTCTCTCTCTTTTTTTTCTTTTTTTTTTTGCAAGGTATTGCATTTTTTCCTGAAATCAAATGTAGCTGTGGTAGGAAAGACCTGGTTCTAGTACCAGTACGCTATTTAGACTGCAGGCATAGTTCAGTGTTTAAGAGGGAGCACAAGGTGGGCTTGTGGCCAATATCATTTATACACCTCGAACCATTTCCGCTCAGCTTGGTCTCATGCTTCTTGCAAGCCATGGTTCTTCTCACATTCTTCATACCTCCTCTTTTAGGCACACCTGTTGAGTGGTGCATTGTGGTGTGCATGTTTGTATGTTTTGGGAATGGGGACGTGTAGTCAAGAGGACCACCTGAGGAGTCAGAATAGCTCTTGACTGTTCCCGGTGCTGCTGGTTATCTTCCTCGTTATGGTAAGTAATTCACTTTTAGGAGCTTCATCCTTTTTCTCTGCGAAATCAGGGTAATAGCATGCATATTCCTCCACTTAGAAGATTATTGTGAGGTTCACATGTGATAAAAAGGGTGAAAGCTCATGGACAACCATATAATGCTATGCAAAAATAAATTATTATCATGATTGAAACAAATTACAGATGAAATTCAAGGCAAGGTAAAGATAAAAGAAACATAGTCAAAAGAAGAAAAGAAAATGAGATGAAGGTAAGTAAGAGAGCAACCTTACAGGAAAGAGCAAACATTTATATTAGTTTATACAAATAAATAAATAAATAAATAATCACATCTACGATTAGAGAAAGTGGTTGGCATATAAATTAACAAACCTAAAAATTTGAAAAGCTCCCTATGGCTCTGATTGAAAGGGAGAATTCATGATATCTTCTGGTTCCTGGACTTTCCCCAGATTTATCTTTGTATGAATGCCTGCCGAAGTGTGCACCCTTTTACTTAGAACTGATTAGTATTTCACTTATTATTTAAAAAGTAATTCAACAGACATTTACTGAGCAGTTACTATGTGCTAGTCACTGTGATAAATGTTGGATTTATAGCAATAAACAAGATAGGCACCATCCTTGCCCTCATGAAGTTTACAGTTTGGTGGAAGAATTTTTCATACACATAACATATTATTATAAGCTGCTGCTATTATACATTATAATAGGAAAGAAAAAGAGTAAAAGACAAAAAATAAAAGAAAAAATTATTTTGAGGGAAACATTACAAAGGAAACATGGCTTGCAGACCCTCAGGATTAGAATTTCATGGCAGAAAGCTATCAGCTTCTTACCTGGGATACAATATTACTTTGAGTTCACCATAAAAGCTTAGAGCAACTATTACTGTTTATGCAGCACATTGTGTTTCTCTAATCATAAATAAGACAAGGTTACAGATTACAAACAGTTGTAATGCAACAAGTTTATTATAATAAGCTCTTCTCTTTTATTGACAAGACTTGCAGCACTTTATTAAAATGTATTTTCTCTGCAGTGGTCTAAGAGACCTGAGAATTACTCTCCTTTGTTTATAAATGATGACAGTGATTCATAGAGAGGTGAGATGATTTGCCTTAGATGGTTCGGGAGCCAGTGTGTTAAAAACTAAATATAGGACCTATTGGGATTGAGCTACCTTTTATGTGGTTAGAAATGGAAGTTTAAACTATGTGTCAGAGATACTAAGCATTTTATTTTTAAAAACAACGCGTATCTTTTTTCTTTAAGTGAATGTAGGAAAAACATGGTGATTCTTGATGAGATGGTAGATTTTCGGGGTGCTAAAAATCTAGACACACACACACATACGCACACGCACACTCACACATCCAAGAAGTCCAGTTTTAATTATATCTTTCTATAGTCAATGGAGGGATCTGGGACAGTGCAGATGTAAATCAAAGATTAATAATGAAAAGAGACAGAAGCAAAACATGATTATATTGGTCTCTTGCTTGAAATATTTCATTGCTTCAAAGTTTCAGTCCAAACCCCTTTGCTTTGAGGAGCCCCTTATGTCTGGGTCTTTGCATTTCTGTCTTCTCTGCCTCACCCTCTTCAATGCATTGTTCATCCAGTCATTCCCAACTACCTCCTGTGGCTTAAAGACACCAACCTTTCCGCTGCCTCCATGATTTATTAAGCTGCTATTCTGTCTGGAACAACTGTTCCCTACCTCTCCTGCTGCCTATTCATCTTTTAAAGCTTAGACTGGATAGCTCAGAGGCTTTCCGTAGCTATTTCTCACCTTTGACACTGAATCACCAAATCAGGGTTTTAGTTATTCTTTCTGTATGCTTGCATGCCATGCTGCTCACCTCCCAGTCACAGCAGAATCCCTCAGCATTGCAATTATTATTATGATAACTTGTCTTTCTTCTTCACTAGATTTGGGAGAGACTTGAGGGCACTTGAGACTTGAGGTAATAGCATTTCTTTTATCTTTTTACTCCTGGCATCAATATGATGCCTGACATAGGGCAAACACTCAGGAAATATGGACAAATGAATGAGTGAATGGACTAGATCTCTTGTTGACAATATCCTCTGTAGTGTCCCATAGACTCCATGGCTGCTAAGTTCTGTTCATTTAAGGTTGAGCTGTAAAAAGCCTATGGAATCCCGTGAGAAATTTCTCTCTCAAGACACTAACAGGTACATTGAGGACATTTTAAAACAAGTTTGTTAAAAAGCATTTGCTTCTCCCCTTCCTTGTCCTACTCTGTTTCTTGCATGTCTTCTTGTGGTTTTATTTCAATGCATTTTCAGATTTTGACTTGTGTCTTTATATATGTATTGTGTATAGATATACATACACACATATATTTATATGTGTTACATAAATGTATTGGATGTATTATATATATAATATATACTTGTTCTCTCTAGGCTTGGAAAAGAAAAATCTTCATGAGATAAAATTAAGTAGGTTGATAAAATTAAGTAACGAATTAAAGCATACGTAATCAGAGTTTTAGCTCTCAACCTGAGACACCTGAAAAGTATTGGCATTCTATTGATTACTGTGGTAGAACATCTGTGCTGAGTATGGTGGCAAATAAAGGTATGTCCCTGGTGCCTTGTTACTAGAGTTGACCACTTTGAGTTCTCTCTAAGAGAAAATGAAGTTGAAATAGGTACACCTTCAAAATGCCCAGATTTTAGAATTGAATACTTGCCAATTTTAATCTATGAACCAATGTACTCTTTTTCTATTATAATCCGATGTGGATTTTGTTAAAGAATCTTACATGTTTTATTTCTCTTGCATATTTTGGGTTTATTTCATAACTGTGCTCATTAAGCTTCTGGTTTCATTAGTATTGAAGGTTCTATGATGTGGTAGGAAAAATTGGGCTTTAGAGTCAGACATACAAGAGGCTGAATTCTGATTTTCTAAGTAATTAACTTTATGACTTTCAGAATGTTGAATAACGCTTAAAACTTCATTTTTTCTTATCCATTAGTGCTGTTTTAAGGACTAAATCAATAATTTACTGGTGAAGAGTAGATAAATAAATGTTGGTTCACACCAAAATTGCACTTGTCTGAGGAAGAAGAGAGAAGAGAAGGCAAACATGAAAGAGAACCTGTTAAAAGTTAGCAAGCCATGTTAGTAGTAGCAAGAATGTTAGTCATTCTGCCAATAGAGTCTTCTTTAAAAGATTAAAATAATCATCCTGTTTTTACCTTTTTAAAATGGAAGAAATATACCCAAAACTAACATAAACAAATGACACATCTTGCCAGAGAAATATAGTTTATTGGAAAACCCACCAAGAAATTTTCTTCTATGAAAATACCCAGTACAAGAAACAAGAGCCAGGAAGCAATATGATCAAGAACATGTAATCTGAGGTCTTAAAGATTGAAACAGTATTTTGCTAATAAAACTCATTCACCTGCCCACAGGAACCAAATGGTTTTTCAGCTAAATAACCATAAAAAATACTTTTCTTTTTTTCCCCCATTAAAACCAAAGGTAAGTTCTTCATATCTGGGTCATCTGGTCTACCTTAACATCTGGCAAACTACTGAGGCAAGTGAATACTGAAGGGACAGCTTCTGGATTCTTCGTTGTCGGGCACTGAGCAAAGTAGCCATCCATCAGCAGCCTCTTGGGAGGCAGGGCTCACAGCAGGGCTGAGTGAAGGTGGTGAGGTTGAGGGTCTCCAGGCCCGGAGTTGGCTGGCAGGAGTTGAGCAGGAAGCAGGTGGGCACGCAGGGCTGAGGAATGTGGCAGGGTGGGGGACAGTTGTCACAGCAGATGGGCTCCAGTAACCAAACTGTGTGTGGGCAGGTGCTGGGCAGGCAGACTCCACAGCGGCAGGATTTGTCGGAGGAGCAGATGGTGGTGGCAGGCCCAGTGGGGACACTGCAGCTGCGAGAGGCACAGCAATCCATGGCAATGGGCGTCTGGTTAGCTTTCAGTTTCTTAGATGAGGATTCTGAGGTACAAATGTCTCCTCTTTTGTTAGGGCTCTTATATACCCTCCCAAGTGGGCATTGGTCCAACTGGAAGCCTTCCTGTTTTGTTTATGGCACCCTTTTTCACTGAGATTCTCTAATCAGTTTGTCATTTACATGTCCATTAAGAGTTCCCGCTCTTATTAAGTTAATCATATTTTTGACTCATTGACTTGTCATTTTTGTCACAAGATCATCACATTTTGTCTTCACAGGTTTCTGGCATGCCAAACCTTATATGACTTTTATGGGTAATCAATCCAAGTGACAATTCAGCTGTAATTTTGGAGGCCAAACTCTTCTTGTTTTTCCCTCTTAATTTAAAATACTATGGATAATGTGATTTCTAATGACTAATTTCAGAATGAGTAACTCAAATGATGAACTGGACCATTTTCAACTCAATAAAGTCAACAAGAATATGGCTATTTACAGATGAATGTTTCATGTGACTACAGGCATCTCGGACATGTTTGCATTATTTAGTGATATTATAATTCAGGTTCTATTGAGCAAGCAAAGTGGTAGAATGGTACAGGATGAAGAAACTCCTTTTTATTATTTTTATTAAATCTGTAGTGAATTTCTCAATGTTGTATTATTCTATGGATTTTTTTTTTCTAAAATAGTCTCTATTCTCAAAGTTATGCCAATCTTGTGGTGAATCAAAGTATAAATTCATTGGAAGGAAGGATCCACACAGTGGCCATTCTTTGTTGAATATACCACTAAAAGAAAACCACCTCAGCCTTGATTCATTTTCACATGAATGGTGTACATACTTTAAAATAAGATGAAATAAGAATTAAAAGGAGAAACCACAAGAGTCACAGAACAATCATGGATTTTGGCAGGGAATCTGACTCAATGCAATTTAGAACTATGGCATTCATAAAAATCACTTTTTCACTGACTTACTCCCTACTTTGCATGTTTATTTGTTTTCATACCTTGGATCTTGAACTAGATTGAAATTCCTTTGAGGTATGCCTTAAACAACATTATTTACTTAAGTCAGCCAGAGATTGAACTAGATAATATCAAATGTGTAATATTCTAGATTCCAACATCTTCCTACACCTGTCCATGATCAGCACAAATCCTTTCAGATAATATTGTATAATTTAAATTACATACTCGTTATGTGGCAATTTGTTGACTTAACAGAAAGCAAAGATTCCGGGTAGGTTGTTTCTGAGGGGACATTACCAAAAACCAGTACGATCTACTTAAAAGAGAAGAAAGCTGGCTAAAATCAGTGGAAAATATCAAATGTCATTGGTAGGTAAGCCTTATACGTTATACGTTAAAACAACCAGTTTATCTTTTTCTTTAACAACAAAAATATGTGGTACATATATGCCATAGAATACTATGCAGCCATAAAAAATAAGGAGCTCCTATCCTTTGAAGAAACATGGATGGAGCTGGAGGCTATTATCTTTAGTAACTAATGCAGAAACAGAAAACCGAATACTGCATGTTCTCACTTATAAGTGGTAGCTAAATGATGAGAACGCATGGACACATAGAGGGGAATAACAGATGCTAGAACCTATCAGAGGGTGGAAGGTGGGAGGAGGGACAGGATCAGGAAAAATAACTGGTAGGTACTAGGCTTAATACGTGGGTGATGAGATAATCTGTACAACAAACCCCCATGACACCAGCTTACCTATGTAACAAACCTGCACAGGTACCCCTGAACTTAAAAGTTAAAAACAAAAAAACAGAAAACAGCTTCAAATCATTTTTATTAGCAGGAATTTACAACAAATGCCAAGGGTGTCGAACATCATACTGTTACCAGATGGTGCCATGCAGTTCCAGGCTTTTGGTGTCCCAAAGAATTGGACGAGACACCCACAGCAAAACAAAGAAACAAAAGTGTATTAAGCACAGTATTACACTCTAAGAGGGGGAGAGCAAACCAGCCTCTGTGAGATGAGATCAGCCCCCAGCTTGGTGCAGTTTGCGTCTTTGTGTGTGTGTGTGTGTGTGTATGTGTGTGTGTGTGTCCCTTCCCAAGGCTGCCTAATCTCTAGCCAGTGTTTGCCTCTTTGATTGACAGGTGTGTTGCTTAGTTACTTTGGCCCCTGTGTGCTTGCGCACCACCTCCAGCCCATAATTTTAAGTACATACATGATATGCAGTCCATATGCATAAGCCTGAATGAGCTGATTTTCATACAAGGTCATGTTAAGGATACGTTTTCTCTTTAATGCACATGCTTATCCATGAAGAGTTGCCCCTTACTGGTTTGGTCCTTATCTTGCCGGCCATGGGGGCCTTGCTTTCTTCTCTATCTTACTTTTTGTTTTGGCTGGAGTGCAGTGGCATTCTCTGCTCACTGCAGCCTCTACTTTCTGGGATCAAGTGATTCTCCTACCTCAGACTCCCAAGTAGCAGCTGGGATTACAGGTGCCCGCCACCACACCCAGCTAAGTTTTGTATTTTTTGTAGAGAGGGGTGTTTCTCCATGTTGGCCAGGCTGGTCTTGAACTCCTGATCTCAAGTGATCCACCTGCTTCGGCCTCCCAAAATGCCAGGATTACAGCATGAGCCACCGCGCCTGGTCTAACTTCTGCTTCTTATCTTGCTTCTTGCTTACCTGCCCCTTCACCTTGCTTCTGGTCTCTGCTTTTATTCACTCCACCCTTTATCCAAGTTTTAATTCCCTTTGCTAGTCTCCTGCCTCAATACCTGCACTTTACCACTGAAGAACAGATAAGCAAATTCAAGTGGCTTTCCCAGTATATTATAAAATTCAAAGTTAATGAACTAGTATTGAAATCGTCAAGGAAATGTTTAATGTTTACTTACTCTTGACTTACCAGTCTCTCTCATCTAGAAGCCAGTGGCTTGGCAAGTAGAATATATGAAGAAGACCCTCTCCCATTCTCTGTGTTCTCTCTGACTTCTCTTTTAAAATCGATTTTGAAATATTATATAGATTCAGGAGATCTACTGTACAACATGGTGACTATAGTGAATAACCATATATTGCATTTTTGAAAAACGCTGAGAGAATGGATTAAGTGTTCTCATCACAAAAATGATAACTATGTGAGTCACGCATATGTTAATCATACAGCACATTACATAAAGTGAAGGCGGGAGTCTCCTAGGTACTTTACCCTCTGTGACCTCGTTCATACTGTTTCTTTAGCTTAAAGTGACCTTTCCCAATTCTCTAGTTTCCAAATCCTGTTGATCCCTCAAGATTCAGCCAAACATCCCCTTCATAAAGAAACTCTAGGTGATTCTTCTAGATGTTTGCATCCTTTTCTCTGCTCTCACAAAATGGGCTGCCTATTCTTCCCTTTCAACCTCATTTCTTTCTGCTATATTTTGTAGTTTGTCACTTAAATTTGTTTTCCTCACTCCAATGCAAGGTTCTTGGAAGTGGTAATCGTATGTTAGTTTTATTTGTCTTTTTCAAGCACCTAGGACAATGCCTGAAACAGGGTAGGCATTTGATAAATATTTGTTGAATTGGATTACATTTCAGATTAGAATTAAAAAGGTATTTATTTATTTTTATAATGGCCTTTTATAACAGTAACACTTTATATAAAGAGAGTGATTCATTTTTTGTGTGAATTGCTTTACAGTTGTCAAAACTTTTTTTTTTTTTTGAGATGGAGTTTTGCTCTTGTTGCCCAGGCTGGAGTGCAATGGCACGATCTTGGCTCACAGTAACCTCTGCCTCCCGGGTTCAAGCCATTCTCCTGCCTCAGCCTGAGGAATAGATGGGATTACATTCATGCTCTACCATGCCCGGCTAATTTTGTATTTTTAGTAGAGACGGGCTTTCACCATGTTGGTCAGGCTGGTCTTGAACTCCGGACCTCAGGTGATCCGCCCGCCTCAGCCTCCCAAAGTGCTGGGATTAGAGAGGCGTGAGCCACCATGCCTGGCCAACATTTTTAAATTCAAAGATTTACCTAAATGAGACAGCGAAAAAAATGGGCTTGGCTCAATCTTTGAGGTCCTTTCTGTGAGCATGTTGATCTCAAATTGCTAGCTTCACTGCCTCTTTAAGGACACGTGAGTTTATTTAGAGGCAGGGAAAAAATAAAAATCAAAGGTAGATGCTGACCTTGGCATTTAAAACGATTCTAAGCTTAGAGCCTAATGCATTTCACTATCCTCACAGTTTTCTTCAGGTATCTACGTATGCCTGTGAGGCCTCTTTTTGGCTATGAAATTTATGTTGATGTCATCAGAAAGTGTAATTCTGCTGGATGTATTTTTAAGTTCATGATGCATGTGTCAAGAGTCGTTGGGTAATTATAGCATTAAATGTTGAGGCAGTATGTGGTTTGGGGAGTAGTGGTGTTTATTTAGTTTTGAAGTAAGGGGATCCATGGTAGCATTTTTTTTCCCATTTCTCATTTGAAATCATTGTTCAAAACAGGAAAAGAAAACTTCTGTAAAACTGAAGGCACAGTGCTATATTTTCTTCCAAATGGCCTCATTAAAGGCCATTTGCTGAGCAGCGCTTAATGACTACTGAAGGTCCTCAGGGTAATGTGGGCAAGCTCTTTGGCTAGCAGCAAGGTGGTTCACACTCTGGATGCAGGTGGTGACAGAGAGCCCGCTCAGGGTTGGAGCTGGGTGGCATTTGTTGAGCAGTCAACAGGATGGCACATAGGAGTCAGGCATGCAGCCAGGCAGGGGCCAGGTTCACAGCAGGTGGGCTGAAGGAGGCTGATCTCATGAGGACAGGTGCTGGGTAGGCAGACTTCACATTGACAGCTTATGTCAGAGGGGCAGATAGTGGTGGCCAGGCCAGTGGGGACGCTGCAGCATCCTTGGAGATAGGAATCACAGCAAGACATAGTGACAGTGGACCAGGACAATGTTTTGTGGCAAAGGAAGGCTTTCTTCTACAAGGTTGTCCTCTATGGGTCTTTTATATCCACCTATCTCAGGGAACACGGCTTCTGTCCATCAGAATGTTGGACGGAACATCCTTGTTGCTGTTTACCTAATTCTGTAAAAATAACTCACTAACTTCTTATGTATCAGACAGGGGATGAGCTCTCCTTCAGTTTTATTTAGTTGTGTTGCTGCATTCAAACTTGCTTTCTGTTGTAGTTTCAAAATGGTGTCAGTGTAGTTTTCCACTTACTCACATGTAGACACATCCATACTGTATTAGTCTGTTCTCATGCTGCTATAGGGACATACCCGAGATTGGGTAATTTATAAAGGAAAGAAGTTTAATGGACTCACAGTAGACCCACCTCAGCCTCCCAAAGTGCTGGGATTACAGGCACGAGTCGCTGTGCCTGGCCTCAATAACAATTTGAAGGAAAAATGAAATATCTTGTTTTTTATTATATTATCAAGGATAAACAATTATTAATGTTAAGGGCAGTTGTTTTACCTTGATTATTGATGCTGAAGTTGAACTGAAAATGTGTTTGAGTTGCCAAACATTCTGCATTTCAATTCAAAGTTAATGATGCAGCCAATATTTCTTCTCTGCTGACACTGCTAATCAGTAAAGTCTGACTTTTTAAAAAAGGTTTGTTCTTAACTTAGAAACACGGATACCTTTTTTAATACTCATTGTATACACTCATTTTATTTTAGACTATAATCACCACAGAGAAAACAGAGAAAACAACAAAAGATACAATTGACAGGGATAGTAGAGAATATATTGTCAAGTGTCATATACTTTCTCCTGAATAAAGAGAGCCACCTATAGTCACATTTCTCTTTGACATATTGCTGTCTGTGGGGAAGGTGAGTGCTTTGGTGTAGTGGAAAGAGAAGGGACTTCGGACTTAGTTTGGGGTTTAAGTCCTTCTCTCTCACTTATGATTTATGTAACTTTTGCAAGTAATTTAGTCTTTCTCAGCCTGAGTTTCTGCACCTGTTAGTGGCCTTTCTTCACCTGTTAGTGATGCAGGGCAGGGGAGCCCCAAAGTGGGGCTTAGCCTGCAAGGGTTCTTGGCTTTGCCTAGGGAAGAATTCAAGGGCAAGCCAGAGGTAGAAAACAGCTTTATTGAAGCAGCAGTGTTACAGCTCTGTGATTGCTCCTGCAGAACAGGGCTACCTCTGTAGGCAGAGAGTAGCAGCTCAGGGCAGTTTTGCATATTTCTACCTACTTTTAATTAGATGTAGATTAAAGAGTGGTTTGTGCAGAAATTTCTAAGAAGGAGTAGTAAGTTTTAGGTCATTGGGTCATTGCCATGGAAAGGGGTGGTAACTCAGGTGTTGCCATGGCAATGGTAAATTGACACAGCATGCTGGTGGGCATGTCTGATTGGAAAGCTGTTTCTGTCCCCATCCTGTTTTAGCTAGCCCTCAATTTGGTCCAGTATCTGAGCCCCGCTTCTGGAGTAGAGTCCCACCTTCTACCTCATTAGTATGTCCAGTAGATACTCACTCAGTGTGAGCTATTCCTAATGAAAGCAGTAAAAGTAATGAGGTAGAATGGGCTTGGTTAGTTGCATGGGGTACTTGTTACTTAGAATGCTTCTGGATGATCTAGAATCATAGAATGTTAAAACGAAAAGCAACCTTAGAGATGGTGTGATCAACCAACCCATTTTACTGCTTTAACACCTGAGACCCCAAGAACTTAATTGACTTGCTTAGGGCCACAGAGGCAGCTCAAGGCAGAGCCAGGACTAAAACAACACATCTTCTGGTTTCCAGTTGGGGATTTATAACTAGGCCAGGGCCCGTGAATGCTAAAGACCATGGTAGTAGTAATAGGAACTTCGAGTTATTTTAGGTATTAAAAACAAACTCTAATTTTTATCCCTTACTAGCATGTATGAAAACATGAAAATTCTTTGTTTTTGACTAGAAAAAAGGTAACTTGGCATGGTAACAAAGGTTATTCTATAGTAATCCTAAACATTTAATTGATATTTATAAATGTATTTATGAACACAAATGAAGGAATTAATAAACATTTTTAAGAAAGCCATTTGGGAAAAATACATATTTCAAGAAATAAAAAGATGCCCAACCTACGTATCCATCATCCAATGAGTGGATAGAGAAACTGTGGTATGTATACACCATGGAATACTACTCAGCTGTTAAAGGGAATGAAACAATGTCTTTTGTGGCAACTTGGATGGAGCTGGAGGCCATTATTCTGAGTGAAATGGAGTGGGAAATTACAGGAATGGAAAACAAAAAACCATGTTTTCACTTATAAGTGGGAGCTAAACTAAGTATGCAGATGCATATGGAGTGATATAATGGACTTTAGAGACTCAAAAAGTGGAGGGTGGGAGGGAGGCCAGGGATAAAACACTACACATTAGCTACCATGTATACTCCTTGGGTACGGGTGCACTAAAATCTCAGAATTCACCACCACTATATAATTCATCCATGTAACCAAAAACCACCTGTAACCCAAAAGCTACGGAAATAAATAAATAAATAAATAAATAAATATTTTTAAAAGATGTCTTTTGGTGAGAAAGTTGGGAACTTCCATATGGCAGTAATGGTGAGAGTCTCTCATGTGTAACAGGTTGATGCTGTGGACACGGTGGTTTCTACACTTCAGGGCATCTGGTCCTCACAATAATCCTGAGACAAAAGCAGGGCAGAGAGTAATAACAAGCTAACTGAGCCTGTAGGAAACCAAGCTATAGGTAGGAAACCACGCTATAGGTAGGAAATCACTTTAATAACAGGGAAATTGAGACTGAGAGGGAAGCAATTGGCCCAAAGGCCAAAGGCAAGTCCAAAAGTGTGTGTGTGTGTATATATATATATATATATATAATCACAATACCTTTATTTTTTGCAAAGACCTAATTGCACCTAGATTTTTCTAAGATAAATAAGGACATGAATTAGTGGTTATCGTAGTAGTTTTGTTCTAATAGAAACTGTGTGTTTTTGCTCTCAGAATTGTGTGACTATTTCTGGTGTATAGAAAATACTACACTGTAGTCTGATATTTTAAGCATATTTCAATGTCATGATATTATATGTCACTTAGACTAGCAAACTTCTAATCATAGTCATGACTAATGTAAACCAATGTAAGCCCCATTTGAGGAATCAATGAATACTCGATAAATGCTAACATTAATTAAAAATGGATTGTTTTGGAAGACAGCATATATGAAGAAATGGATATATACACTTCTCAAAATTGCTTTGCATTTTGAGCTCAGAATTTCAGATGACTGTGAGGACTAGGATAATCAAATTATTTATACACACCAGCACAGTGATCAATTCATTTAGTCAATTAAGGAAGAAAGAAAAATCAATGTCAGAATCAATGGAAACTAAAATCAAGTATTTTTAAAACATTCTGTTAATCTCTAGACTCTAGCATAGTGCTTGCACAGTGGATGTCTTCCAATAATATCTATTAAATAAATATCTGTTAAATAAAAAGCTTCTATAAAATGAACTACCACATTTTTTACTTTTTAACTTATCACAAATAACCAGTATCTATTTTTTCGATAAATTCCACTATGAGAGCTCTTATTCTGTTGGGGTAAATCTTGGATAGTGTGATAACCTACTGTTCAGGTTTAGGTAGGCATTCCACTTTCCCTAATGGGAGACATGAAAATAAATAATCACAAGGTCATATTTGCTAAGCCAGAATAAAGTTTATTAACAAATGGTCAAAATGGTTATTTCTCAAAGAGTGATGAAATAGCCTAAAAGACAGAAGGGAGGTCTCCAATGGTACCCAAATGTGCAAATAATTAAGAAGATTCATCAAGACTTGGCCCCGGGGATTGGGATGGCCTTAGCCTTGATGTAGGCAGTAGTGAGTGCTGAAGCCCAGATGGTGCAGAGGACATTGGGCAGCCACCTCACGGAACCTGTGCAGACTCGGCTGGTTAACAGCGGGGCTCACAGGGACTCTCACAGCCAGGCTGAACATAGGTGGTCAGGTTGATCCCACTCAGTCCGGGAGTCGGGTGACAGTTGTTGAGCAGCCAGCAAGTTGGCACATAGGTATCAGGCTTGCAGCAGGGTGGGGGGCAGGTGTCACAGCAGATGGGCTGAAGGAGGCTGATCTCATGTGGGCAGGTGCTGGGTAGGCAGACTCCACAGCGGCAGCTTTTATCAAATGAGCAGAAGGTGGTGGCAGGGCCGGTGGGGACGCTGCAGGAGCGGAGAGCACAGCAATACATGGCAATGGGAGGTGGGTTTTTGTTGAGTTGAGAGAAGTCTGTTGGTGTCTCGATGCTCCTCTCTTCTGCTCTGGCTCTTATATACCCATCTCCCTGGGCGTCAGCCTATTACTGAGGGTTTTTCCCCCATGTTTCAGTTTATAGTTATTTCCATAAAAAATGCCTAATTACTTAAGTGTTTATTACCTAAGATACACTGCTCACCTCATAAAAGAGATTTAGGTTGTTTTGTTGTCAAATTAGGACTATTCACATTGCCAGTGTGTCACTACACAGAAATCTTCATTCCAGTCTTCAAAGGTACCGGGCCATTATCTTCTAATCATTATACCCTCACTAATAATGGCTCGGTATGCCAGGCATCTGCAAACGTTTCCCACTTCTTTTGTTTACTTTTCAGATGAAGAGGACAAGTAAGCTTTTTGTTTGCTGTTCTACCAGTGACTACAGGTTCTATGTGATCCTTTAGGCCCTCAGGCTGAAAAAGTGATATAACATTTTAGATTTATTATTTGTGGCTCCAATAAACTGAATGAAGATGAATGGATAGAATCTATAGAGAAATAGATTTTGGTTTTGTGTAAAGAGGCACTTTCAAACAGAGCTATAACAAATCGTTTGTTCTGCATTCCTTTCAAATATGCTCTGAACAATAACTTGGTAAGAACATGCAGGTGGGAATGAAGACCTTCATGGGTGACAAAGATGGGTGTCCTTTAAGCTCCATCCAACTGTGTTATAAATGGAGATTATTTATAACCAAAAGGCTGGTTGTATTGGGCCATTCAGAAGCTAAATGATGCAGTATTTACCAGACTGAGTTCCATGAACACTGGTTCCAAGGGACTTGAAAGTGTTTTCTGGTAAGTAAGTTTGGGAAATGCTGAATTCTTCATTGTTGGGCCTCTCGGAGCCTTTAATGTGCTAAAATGCTCTATGACTTTTCAATACAGAGATATAGCATATATTTTTCTCCAAACTTACTTGACCATGGACTGCTTTTTGTTTGTTTTCAGAGATTAGCTCTATAGGTCAGTGCTTTATGAAACATACTTGGGGAGATTTAGCAACATCTTACAGCAAGCTTGTTCAACCTGTGGCCCAGAAAGGCATTGAATGCAGCACAACACAAATTCATAAACTTTCTTAAAACATTATGAGATTTTTTTGTGATTTTTTTTCTTTTTTTGCTCATCAGCTGTCATTAGTGTTAGTGTATTTTATGTGTGGCCCAAGACAATTCTTCTTTCAATGTGGCCCAGGGAAGCCAAAACATTGAACACCCCTGTCTTACTTCCAGGCTCTGTGGTCCAGAATAGAGACATTTCCGAGTTTCATCTAAACCACTAAAACTCTAAAAATAAAGTTTTAAAAGTAGATAAAGGTAGAAAATTTAGTATGATGATTTAGAATTACTTTAGAATATGAAAAATACTAAACTGGTAAAACCTTTAGAAATGGCTTACTTAGAAAGGCTTAAAAACATGTACATATTTTCTTGACCCATTTTTTCAGATAAGATGGCTCAAGTTCTAAAGTAGAAAATTGCACAATGCAGAGGAATCAGAAGCCAAATGAGATGCAAATCAACAAGATGTTGGATTAAAAAAATGCTTAGCATGAAACTGCTTTCTTTTTAGCCATTTTCTTATTGGAATGATTTTGCAGTTTTGGATTCCTATGCTAGAATTTACATCTCTCTTAGATATTTACATATCAAAATTAGAATTTACATATAAAATGCTCATTGATTGAACACCTGTTGTATGTTGGGCATCATGCAAAAAGTCGCAATAGGCTCCTGCCCTTACAGGGGTCATAGAGAAGAAGACAGACACAGAGAAGTAAACCAGCAAACAATAACAAAGGATTGTACATTTAGATTTTCCAGGTTATGATATGAGAATTTAGAGGTAGAAGCCACAGACTTCTCCTAGAAAACTTAGGAAGCCCTTCACAAAAAGAGAACATCTGTTTGGATCTTGAAGGGTGAAAAGGAGCTGAGCAGATAGAAATAAATAGGAAGGAGATTTCAGCCATTGAAACAAAATGCCACAGGGCCCCCATGGTATGACAAAAAGTGTTGCCTGGTTGAAGCATAGGTTCTGAATCTGTTGGAATGAAGACGGAAAGGTGGGTTAGTGCCACAGTATGAAGAATTTGTACTGTGCTTAGTATCCTACACTTAGGATTTTGAACTTTATCTTGTAGGCAATAGGCATTATGTAAAGGTTGCTGAACAGGCATGTGACATGACTAGATTTTGGAAGGATACTGTAGTTTTTGAGGGAAGGCTCATCATGGTTATCATTGCCACTTACTAAGTATTAGGTAATGTGCTGAGTGCTTTGCATGCATTATTTCATACAGTTCTTACAACAACCTTATGATGATGTATGCAATGATATTATCCTTGCCCTTTGACAGACGAGGAACCTGCAGCATAGAGAGGCTAAGTAGCTAGTGGGTGAGTAGCTGGCATTTGAAGCCAAGCAGTATGGCTTCAGACTCCATGGTCTTAATCACTGTGCCAGATTCCCTCTTGCTTTAGGGGTATTGTCTGACTACAGTGCAGAAGACCCTCAAGATTAGTTGAGTGTAAGATTGGTAGGAAGGATGAGGCCAGGTCATTGAAGGTCTTGGGACCACAAGGGGAGTTGAGTTTAGAGCTATTTTCTTAATCAAAAGACTATGCTGTAGAAAGGAGGAAACTTGAAGACAAGGACAATAATTAGGAAACTATTTGGGTGTTCTAGGGGAGTGAGGAGTGTCTTAGAAGATATCATAGTTTTGTGGGAATAGAGAAGTGGGAGTTACCAGAGATTTCTTATCACATCATTCAGTTTTTAGGGACCACCATCTGGGTGGTACAGCAGTTTCCACAATAAAATTAATATTTTTGTTTTTAAGGTAATGGGAACACTAATCCTCTGCTAACACTTTTCATGGATTGGATGTATACCATGTGTCAGGCATGGTGCTAAGTATTATTGTGCATCTTCTTCCTTACATCTTACAACCCTTTAAGATCACTATTGGGTACACTATTACTGTACCCATTTCCCAGATGATGAAACCAAGAATAAGGATATTAAGTAATGATTCTAAAGTCACACTACTAGTGAACGATGGCTCACCTAATAGCAATAGTTTGCACAAAATCGATATTTTTGTGGAATTAAATTTTATATAATTGTAGATTATGCTCATGTATTTTTTAAATTTATTAATGCCCTCAACAAAATGTCTAAGACTATGCTAGGTGCTAAGCATAGAGCAATAAACAGGTCAGATAAGGTCCTTGTTGTCAAGTGGGAGAGACAGACAATAAGAAAACTAACAAATGAATAAATAAGAACTCCAGAGAAGTGCCAGGGAGTGTATTACCTTAGTTAGAGTGGTCAGAGTGGCTGGACTATAGTGAAGACAAGGAGCGTAATAGGAAATGAGGTTACAGAAGGTGGCAGGTGGCAGGCCGTGTAGGATTTTGAAGGAGTATAATAGGAAATAAGGTTACAGAAGGTGGCAGGTGGCAGGTGGCAGGCCGTGTAGGATTTTGAAGGAGTATAATAGGAAATAAGGTTACAGAAGGTGGCAGGTGGCAGGCCGTGTAGGATTTTGAAGGAGTATAATAGGAAATAAGGTTACAGAAGGTGGCAGGTGGCAGGCCATGTAGAATTTTTTAGTTGTTCTACACAGTTTAGATTTTACTCTAAGGGTGTTGAAATCCACTGGATGACTTAAAGAAGGGAGTGATAACATTTTCCTTATGTTCAAAGGAAAATGAACTACAGCAGAGCAAAGTGGAAACTGGCACGACTAGAAAGTGTGAGGATAGACAGTTGATGCTAGTTTTTGATGAACTGTTAAGAAGTGGTAGAGTTTGGAAGCCCTTTTGAAAGTGGAGATGATAGGTCATGCTGATTGAGAGGATGTGTGGAGCCAAGGATCATGTCTAGGTGTCAGATTTACTCGTAGAAACAGCTGCTGTCTGGGGTGATAGGAAAGGGATTGGAGATGAGTTTAGTTTGGGACCTACAGACAAAGCATCCTGAAGCCGTGAGAGGGAGCAGAGCTGGACGTGCAGATTTGGGAGGCTCCAACATACAGGAAAAATTTTGCTTACAATGATGTGCCTGGACTGAGAACGAGATAGTCACTTTTATGTGCGTTAGTCATGTTTTGCTGTGAGCCACTTTGTGCCTTACGAATATCCATCTCCCAACAACTCAGTGAATTTGTGGGTGGCTGTTGGGAAACACCTTCCACAGTGTCACCTCCTGAGTCAGCAGGGATGTTAGGAAGCTTCACACCTTAGGGCCACTCAATTTTCCTAAAGCCTGTTGGAATTCTTCATCCCTTCACAAAAGCAGGATATAGAAACCTTTAAAGTTTGTCATCCTAATAAAAATGTCTAGTAAATAAAAACATTTGGTCTTCATTTCCTGAATTGCATGATCTTTGAAACTGCCAGTGCATTCCTTTATAGTATAGATTGAAAGAAAGAATGGCTGGTATCAAGGCTGCCATTGACATCAATTTATTCTTTGTTTACTTTGCTATATGCTGAAAATTCATGCAAAGGATTCTGGGCTTGGGTTAAATGGTGAACTTTGGGAGTGTTTTCCAGTTGCATCAGATTTTTTTTTTTTCCAGTTTGTGGTTATAGTCAAGCCTGATATATCTCATCACCTTATTAGCTTGCACTGAAAATTACCCCCAAATTGAATTTCTTTTAAATGGAAGTAGTGGTGTTTTCCACTTGAGGACATCTGATAGTCTCTATAATTGTCATCTGGCAACATGCAGGGCTGATCTCATAGCTTTCAGTCCCGTGGCACATGCAACATTCTTGCAAGTGATTGCTTAGCCAGCTGGCTGGAAGTGTTACCTATTTTTCCTGGGAACCCTAGGCTTTCAGTTTAATTCTTATGTATTATTGTAGGCTGTGGAGTATACAGATAGTAACAGATAATTCTTTATGATTAACTAATATATAAAAATATGTGTTAACTAAAATTAATATGTTTAGGAAAATAGACACTCCATAAAATTTGAGTACCTACTATATGCCAGGCACTGGTAAAATAAAATTTTCAGCTGCCTACTATGTGAAGTATTGAGATATTTAAACTTACAATTATTCTAGAGTAAGCTTTGGAATTTTCATCCTTGGAATTATTTTCTAACAATAGTTGTACTTTATAAATTTATTTTGAATCAGAGACTTTTTTCTCCATTGATTAGATAAATCTGACTACTGTATTGAATTGAATGACCACTGATTTTCCAAAGAGCTCCTGCAGTACTTGAAATTTTTTGAAGAGACTTAATTGTTATGTATTTAAATATTAGCTGACACTATGGCTTTAAAATATACTTTGAGTTTTTAGCTTATTTTACTAAACATATAGTTGGCTATATGGTAAGGGCAAATTCTCATACAGAATTTTCTGTGTGACAGATTTTTTTAAAAGTGCACTACACGTATCATGTCATTTAATTCTTACCACAGCCCTATGAGGTTGGTATTAAAGCTATCCTCTCTTTCATAGCTGAAGGAAACTGAGGCATAGAGTGGTTAAGTAAGTTGCTCAAAGTCAATAGCTGGTAAGTGATGGAATTAAAATCTGAACCAAGGCCACCTGACCCCAGAGTCTGCATTCTTAGTCACTATACATTAGTTTATAATTTCTCTATTATTGATTATTGCATTTTTCAAGAGAAAATATATAACTTGGTTTATTTCAACCTATCTCTGTTGAGCACCTGCTGTTTGCTTTGTACTGTGCTAGGAGATTTAAGGCATTCAAGGACAAG
Organism: Homo sapiens; assembly: GCF_000001405.40. Lineage (NCBI taxonomy): Eukaryota > Metazoa > Chordata > Mammalia > Primates > Hominidae > Homo > Homo sapiens. The sequence goes on from NW_003871091.1 coordinate 164,290, forward strand.
CAGGACATGGTGTACTCTTAAATATCTGAGAATTTACTGGGATTCGCAGGGTACACAGGGCTTGAATGCAAGGCAGAGGAGTAGGAAGGCATTCCAGCTATAGGGAACAGCAGCAGTAAATGCATAGAAGTGGAAAAGAACAAATGGTTGTTAGGAAGCCATGAATAGTGCGCTGTGTCTAGAGAACAATTGTGTGAGATAAAAGCAAGATGTAGAGTCTTGACCCCAGGATGAGGTGTTTGAACTTGAATTAAGTAGACCCATGGAGAACCACTGGTATATATTTTTCTAAGGCAGGAAGTTACCTCTTTAACTCCGTCATTTGTAAATATGGCTAATGTTACTATCACATTGATAGGATGTTTAAAGAATAAATTAAAGAAAGCATTAAAATGTGCAATGCAGTGCCTGGAACATAGTAAGTCCTCAATAAATGATTCTAATAGGTGTGATTGTTGTTACTAAATAAGCAGAGGGAGGCTGGAGCTTTTTTCTTCCCCGTCATTTTCAGGTATTCTTTCTCTCCGACGATAGGGAATCTAGGGCTAAATTTGGGAGTTTAGCTTTTAGGTTTCCCACGCCTGGAAAGCCTGCCTGTTGATAGTCTTCATTATAGTTTTTGTAACCAGTGAAGACCCCGCCTCCAAAAAGCAAACTGTGCCCCTCGACCTTGCTTTGCTGGAACCCTGTGAGATCACTGGTAAGCAGTGTGCACTCCTCATGTCCCCTCTACCACGTTGCCTTTTTCAGGAGGCAGTCATCACAAACGCCTAGCAGGATTTATTACTCAGAGGGGACTGAAGAAATGCTCTAGCTGCTTGAGCGTGACTTCTTCCTCATTCTTTCTTATTACTATCTGTGATTTACATGAAGTGACACAATTTATATTTTGATACAGTTAAAAATTTCCTCTGTAGAATAAGATGTATTGCAACAGCTTGTAATTATAGCCGGTCAGTTTTCCTGAGTGGAAATTTGACATCTGAGTCCATTGGGATGAAAAGAGCAGAAAGGAGGAAGATAACATGAGATAAACGTTCCCACTAATATTGTGTGTTTTGATTTTCGAGAGTACACCACGCTCAGTGCTGGAGGTGAAGATTTGGAAGGCTCCAACATATAGATGAAAACTGTGCTTACTATGAAGCGCTTGGACTGAGAATGAGATGACCATTTTTATGTGATCCATTTTATTCAAATGGAATACAACATCACCCTGAGCAATGCTCTTCCTATTTTTAAAGCTATTTTCCACACATGACTATCTGGCTCATGCTATCCTCTCCATAGCCAAAAGGGCTTTCTGCTCCTGAAGACATACACTTGAGTGGAGAAGAGGAATAGAAAATAAAATTTCTGGAGCACCTACTATATGCCAGGCATATTACTATTAATAACCTTATTTGTTATTCACAGCAATACTGTGACATATTAGAACCCCCATTTGATATAGAAGACAAAAACTGAGCTTCTGAGAAGACTTGTCTAAGGTCACAGTCAGTGAGTGAGTAGAGTTGGGATTTTAAACTCAGGTCTTCTGATTCCTTTCTCATCCCACTCTCTGCCCCTTCCTACAGTTAAAAACATCTTCAGAGTGATTAAAGTGTCAACCTATACTCAAATACAATAGCAGTCCCCATTCTTTTTGACACCAGGGACCGGTTTCATGGAGGACAATTTTTCCATGGACTGTGGGTGGGATGAAGGTGGGATGGTTTTGGGATGAAACTGTCCCACCTCAGACAGATTCTCACAAGGAACGTGCAACCTTGATCCCTCGCACGTGCGGTTCACAATAGGCTTTGCGCTTCTGTGAGAATCTAATGCCACCGCCGATCTGCTGAGCTGACAGGAGGCAAAGCTCAGGTGGGAACACTTGCTCCTCGGCTGCTCACCTCCTGCCATGTGATCCAGTTCCTAACAGGCCAGGGACAGGTATCGCTCTGCAACCCGGGGCTTGGGGACCCCTGAGAAACAACATAACAAGTTTGTTTTGCTTAGTACACGTTAACACACAAAACAAGTGTTTTGTATGACTTCTAGTCTCAGCTTCTGGTTCCCTCTAACTACTATCCCTGGCTTTTGTGCAGTTCTCTTTCTGTTTGGTCCCTTCTGATCACTAAACCAACAAGCGTTGGAGTAAAGGGCAAAAATGTTAACCTCAGAGTTTCCTGAATTCTATCTCTAGGATTCTATTGTTTTGTCTCCCTCAACCTCTCCTGAATAGAGAACGTTGAATTTCCTTCTGTTCAGAGTTTTTTGTGGCTGTTGCTGTCAACCTCTGCCATCTCTAACTCTTCTCAAACTTCCTCATGCTTCCTGGCTTCAGTTGCTCTGAAAATCCTGAGTTCTTTCCCTTCTTCCTACCGTAAGGTTATCAGCCCACTAGGATCTTTTTTTTCCAGGGTCACAGGTGTCATCTTTTGAACAAGTCAGTACTGTCTTAGAGATAACATAATTGTAGTTCTTTACTCTGGCCCCATTTGGACCAAGATTTCTCTGATCCTTTTGGGAAAATATCTCGTTTGTTTCATTCATGCAACTAAAATAAATAAGATATTAAAAAATTGAGAAAATAAAAGTCGAAATTTTGTATGTTAAATATTAACCCATTAAAAGCCAGGAATTTTGATTTTCATGTTGTGTATTCTACCACTCCTGTTTCTCTATCCCATATTTGTAATGCAAGAACAAAGAAGAAAAAAGAGAACGTGCTTAGAAATGAATAGGCCCAACATAGGCTCATAATAGTTGGTGCTTTGGATTAGTCTCTCTCAACCTCACAAAACAATTTTACTAAACTCTCAAATCTCCGGTCTTACCCAAGGCTTTCATGCTTTAGTTGATGTGATGATTCAACATTTTCTCCCTTCAAGTTTCTCAACATCCCTTTGTGTCTTTGAGCTTTTAAAACTAATTCTGTCTAATCGCACTTAACAGAATAATCATGATGGAGAATAGGTTTCTTAAGTCAGAGTTATGATTCTGGGGATAAGTCAGTCATTAACAAAGGGCCGTCTGCAGTCAGGTCTCTGGGCACATCCCACTTTTCATGGAAGGCCTTTGATAGAAAAGGTGGAACTTTCTTAACTACAGAGCTTAATGTTGTTGAGTAATCTTTCTAGTTTCTCAATTGGATTCTAACAGGTCTAAAATGCTGTAATTCTCTGACTGCCATCTCCAAAGCTCAGATATAATTTTTTTCTCATAATCCACTATGGTGATTAATGAAAGGGAGTAAGTGAACATTCTGTACAAATGGCTCACTAAATAATCTAATTTTTCAAAGGCAGTAAGAGTATAACAGTTAGGGTCCCGCAGAAGATGAGAACCAAACCCTTTCTTTTTCTATTGAATAAAATTCATAAGAATAATTTTTAAGCTGTTCACTAGGTAAAAAAAGAGGACCCTAAAATACCACAAATGTGGAAACTGCAGAAAGCCCTAGTTTTCCAGGGAAGCTTTAAAGGCCTAGCTTTAAATGCAGGAGGCAAGGAATTAAACCTTAGAGAGGGAGATGTCCTGTAGCGCTGAAACTGTTGTTTTAAGAGAGGACTGGTTGGTCCTGGTGACCCTGGAAAGGAGACAATGAAGCTGGTTCTTCAAGTGTTGAGAAAACTGCAAACTGAATTCGTGTGCTGCCATGGGCAGGATCTGCACCTGCTGGAGTGAGAAGTGTGACTTGGGGCGATTATCCTGGGATCTGCTTAGCATACAGGAAGTCCCAAATGGAGCAGAAGGAAGGAACAAATCCTGCCTTCCTATTCCAGCTTTGCAGTTTTCCTCTGTCACCCCCTAGTAGAAAAGCCTAACAGAACTGCGGTCAAAGCCACAGTGTGTTTTGCAGAGTACAGAAGGGAGGCCTTGAAGCCGAGAAATAGGAACATAATGGGCACAAAGAGGAACTTATTCTGAAGCCCACAGCTGCCCAAGGAGATATCCTTGGATCTACTGAATCTCCCAACACCAATCTTTACTTCCAATTCCTTAACTTCATGGTCTCATCATGAATTTTGGGGTCAGAGTTGGGTTTGTATTTCTGTTTTTTACTTATGAATAAACTATTGAACCGCCTTTAGGTTTGATTTCCTCATCTACAAAGGTAAGGTAACAGTATCTATTTTACAGGATTGATGTAAGTATTCAATGAAATTAGGTTAATATGAAGCTTACTTAGCTTGGGGTATAACATACGGCAGTAGCCCCCAACCTTTTTGGCACGAGGGACTGGCTTCATGGAAGACAATTTTTCCATGGACCAGGGAGGTGGGTAGGATGGTTCAGGATGATTCAAGGGCATTACATTTATTGTGCACCTTATTTCTATTATTATTATAGTGTAATATATAATGTAATAATTATACAACTCACCATAATGTAGAATCAATGGGAGCCCTGAGCTTGTTTTCCTGCAACTAGATGGTCCCACCTGCGAGTGATAGGAGATAGTGACAGATCATCAGGCATTAGAGTCTCATAAGGAGCCCACAACCTAGATCCATCACATGCGCGGTTCACAATAGGGTTTGCGCTTCTATGAGAATCTAATGCCACAGCTGATCTGACAGGAGACAGAGCTCAAGCAGTAATGCTTCTGGCCAGTGGCTCACCTCCTGCTGTGCTGCCTGGTTCCTAATAGGCCACAACTGGTACCGGTCCACTGCCCAGGGGTTGGGGGCCCCTGCCTTAATAGATTGCTCCTGTGCACATCCAGCCTTATAGTTTGGTGGGTAGATAACACCCAGCTAAGCATGAGAAGCTCAGGTTGCACAGTCATTCCATTTTTTCCAGTTCTTGCCCACTAGCAAGCCGGAAGTAGTTTATCAAAAGGACAGTAGTTATTTTCAGAGGAGGGCATGGATTTTCTCCAAAACCTTATAAGTCTGACCTGTAATTCTTCTATTGATGCTTGCCAGAGGCTATATACGGTGAGCGTGTGTTTTCCATAGACACTTCAAATATGGTTGGATGTGCTGGATTATAAGGCTCAAATGAAATAGCAGCTTGAATTATAGCTGGGACTTTTCTTTCTTTCTTCTTCTTCTTTTTTTTTTTTTTTTTTTTTTATGGAGTCTTGCTCTGTCACCCAGGCTGGAGTGCAGTGGCGTGATCCGGGCTCACTGCAAGCTCTGTCTCCCAGGTTCAAGCAATTCTCCTGCCTCAGCCTCTCAAGTAGCTGGGATTACAGGTGCGTGCCACCACGCCCATAGCTGGGACTTTTCTTTAGAGCCTTCTCTTGCTCTTGCCCTAAAACCTAGCAGCATTTTGAGTTATTCATTAAGTGGGTTGAAATAACACACTCAAATATGGCATATGTTGACCCCAAAATACAAAAATGCCCACCAAGAGTTGTGCCTTTTTAGCTGAAGTTAGCTTAAAATACAGCAGTTTTTCTTTCACCTTGGAAAGGATATGTCAGTGTGTTCCAGACAATTTGACTTCAAGAAACTTCATTGAGGCTGTGAGCTTTTTAATTTTTGTAGAGTTTGTTTCTTGCCCTGGAGTTCATTAATGTTTTACCAAGTCCTCTAAGGTACTTGTTACTTCCTGCTCATCAAATGTCACCAGCAAGATGTCATTGATGTAGTGGACTGTTATGATGTTGTATGGAAAGTCAAGATGATTAATAGCATGAGTATATTAGGACAGAGAGCAGGATAGTTGACATAGCCCTGAGGCAATGCTTGGAAGGTTACTGTTGGCCATGCCAGGTCAAAGAAAAGTACTTCTGGCTGCCCTGATACAGAGAAAAATGCATTTTCTTGTCAATAGCTGCATACCAGGTGCCAGGGGCTGTCTTAATTTGCTCCATTCAAGATACAACATTTGGGACATCATCTCCAGTTGAGGTCATCACCTGAATTCATTTAAAATAATAATACATAATTGTTCTGTTATACTCCAGGGTTTATCTGCTTTGTCTACGGGATAAACAAGCTCAATGGGGAGATGGTAGGTATCACAACCCAGCTTTTTCCAAGTCTCTGATAATGGCACCCATCTTCAAAATTTTCCCATCAATATAGTATTATTTTTTATTTACTATTCTTGTATCAAGGAAACTTCTGGGGGCTTCAACTTGGCCCTTTTTTACCAAATGAGCTTTATTCCTCAGTGCCAATGTGGGGATTCTGCCAGTTGTCAAACATGATTATTCCAATTATACATTCACAAATTGGGGAATTGTCCTGCAGGCCCACTGGGTCCACTGTGATTCAAACGTAGACCAAGATTCTAACTATCATCTGGCCACCAAAAGTCACCACTTTTTTTTGGAGGACCAGTGGCATTTGGGTCTCTAGAAATTAGTGTCAACTTAGTGTCTAATAGTTCCTGTGATTGGCAGAATTTCAGCCTCCAAGGCCTCTGAGCCCTTGTGTCATGACCCAAGGTCATGTACCTTCAACCCTAGGGTCAGTAGCTGCTTCCTGTAGTTGCTACTTCCATGTTCAAATAATTGGCATGGATTTTGTCTCCTCACTAGATGCTGACTGATAGAAAAGTTGTTACCAGGAGTGGTCCTGGAAAGTAGACCTTCATAGATGGGACTTGGGGATGTTATGTAGCATGTCTGCTACATAACAAAAGGGACATTTCAAATGTAATTAAGGTTACTAATCAGTGGACTTCAAGATAGTGACAATAGCCTGAATTATCCAGGTGTGTCCAGTGTAATTATATGTGCCGTTAAAAGCGGAACATTTTTTTCCCAGCTGACAGCAGAAGAGGATATTGGAGAGGGAAGTGGGGGTAGGGTAGGAAATCAGAGATTCAAAGTATAACATGAACTTGACCTACCACTGCTGGTTTGAAGATGGAGGGGACTATATGAAAACATGAGAAAGAAATGAATCCTGCCAACAAAACAATTCCTGGAAGAAGACTGAGCCTCAGATGAGGACCAGCTGATACTTTGGTTTTATTCCTGTAAGACCAAGAGCAAAGAATCTCACCATGCCCTGCTGTACTCCTGACCCACAAAATCTGTGAGATAATACATTTGTGTTGTTTTAGGTTGCCAATTTTATGGTAATTTGTTAGAGGAGCATTTGGAAACTAATACAATCCCCTGAATATCTGAGTATAGATATCAACCAACATTTTAATAGGCTTCCCCTTAATTTCATTCCAAGGATACCATAATAAACTATCTACTGACAGATCCCTGTGGGTCAAAGCATTCTGGCTACCACTATATCTCTGTTTCTCTTTACAGTGAATGTACAGTTGTCTCTCAGTGTACTGGGTGGGGGGGATTGGTTCCAGGCCTCCTGCATATACAAAATCTGCACATATTCAAGTCTCACGCTCAGCCCTGTGGAGTGTTTATGAAAAGTTGGCCCTCCATATATGCAAGTTTTGCATCTTGAGAATACTGTATTTCAATCAGTGTTTGGTTGAAAAAAATCTGCGTGTAAGTGGACCCATGTAATTCAAACAGGCCAACTGCACTTACTTTTACTTTGGTAGTCAAGTTTTGTGACTTAGCTTCCAGTGCTCTGAGATCCTATTATCTCTACTGAAATCAAGGAGAGGGAGTATCTCCACCATCATATCTAGGCTACTGCAAGAGTCCCCCATGAATATAAAATCCTTGAGTGAAGGCAGTTTTCTCTGGGACTTTTGGGAAGTTACTTGGTGCTGCGTATGTGTGCAGTGTAACATGATAAATCTTCTCCAAAATTCCTATCTCCTTAAGTCTTTGATTCCTTTCCTTTATGTTATGTCAAAAAAGTCCTGACATCTGAGCATCAGTAAACATAGGCCATGGTTGATTTCAAGTTTAAACAAACAAATCAAATAATTCTTTGTACAAAAAATTTACATCCAGAATCTTTAAGTGTAACCACGTCATTTAGGCATTCCATATAAGCAACTTCCCCAAGTGAGACTATAAGAGTGTCATATTCCATCTTCTTTGGTTTACTACCCCAAAAATACACTTACACATATTCCTCAGGTTTCTGCTAATATATAATAATACAATAATGTTTTTTAAAAATACACTTTATTTCCAGAGTAGTTTTGAGTTCACAGCAAAATCGAGCACACAGGTTTCCTATATACCCTGTTTTCACACATGTGTAGCTTCCCCCATTATCAGCATCCCCCACTAGAGTGATACATTTTTTACAACTGATAAATCTACATTGACACATAATCACCCAGAGTCCATAGTTTTCATTTGGGTTCACTTTTGTTGTTGTTCATTTTATGGGTTTGGATAAATACATAATTTGTACCCACCTTATAGTATCATACAGAATAGTTCCACTGCGCTAAAATCCTTTTTTTGTTGTTCCTATTCCACCCCTTTTACCCCAACCCCTGGCAACCACTCATTTTTTTAGTCTCCATAGTTTTACTTTTTTCAGAATGTCATATACTTGGAGTCATACAGTATTTAGCCTTTTCAAATGGCTTCTTTCATTTAGTCATATGCATTTAAATCTCATCTATGTCTTTTCATGACTTGATAACTCATTTCTTTTCAGTACTAAATAGTATTTCATTGTCTGGATGTACCACAGTTTATCCATTCTCCTACTGAAGGGCATCTTGATTGTTTTCAAGTTTGGGCAATTATGTATAAAGCTACTTTAAACATCCATATGCAGGTTTTTGAGTGGACATATGTTTTCAACTTTTTAAGGTATATACCAAGTTGTATGCTTGCCAGATTGTATGGTAAGAATATGTTTAGTTTTGTAAGAAAACATCAAACTGTCTTCCAAAGTGGCTGTACCATTTTCCATTCCCACCAGCAATGAATGAGAACTCCTGTTGCTCCATATTCTTGTCAGCATTTGGTGTTGTCAGTATTCTGGATTTTGGCCTATTGCATGTTTTTTCATGTATGAGCTATTTTTCCTGGATCATACATTGTATTTGCCCTATGGAGCATCTGAAATGTGATCAGAAATACAGGACTAGTAGGAAAAATTTATAGTTATGGTGGCTATTCAGCACAATAGGCATTCCATATAAGTACATTTCCCAAGTGAGGTTATTAGAGGATTTTCCAGCAGTGGACAGCTGTTCTCATCAGACTCAGGAGGGAAATCTATTTTTACTGGTAGAGGAGGCTCAGAATGACTTGGAGATTCAAGATCTTCAGTCCCCTTTGAGTTCAGACAGAAATCCTTATGCCAGGTTTCAATTCTAAAACTTCTTCTTTATCAATTCCCTAACTTTCACATGACAGTCTTGTTGAAGCTGTGAATTCAGCTTAACTTTCAATTATGCAACTCACACAATTAAATTTAGTTAGTGTTTAATATGGGGCAGTATCAGTCCTGTGGCTATAACAAACAAGTTATTATTTTAGGGCTGCTGCTGAATCTTTTCTGTATCTCTGATTATGACCTGACCTGAGATATTAAGGTCTTGAATTTGCCATTTTTCTTTCTGAAAGCACACAGTACACTCAGAAGACATCCTCCACAACAATGCTTATAATCATCATGACTGTCTTAATAGTCAAGAGCAGCAGCAACTTGAGCCCCCAAGCCACTTATTTCAATAGGTGCTTTATTTAAACAACAAAAGTAATAATGGTGATGTTATTGCATGCAATGCATTTCATTTTTTATTGGCAAGGAGTTTAACACTGGGTTCAAGCTCAGGGACTTTACCAAAGCAATCCCCAAGTCCCATCTATGAAGGTCTACTTTCCAGGGCCACTCCTGGTAACAACTTTTCTATCAGTCAGCATCTAGTGAGGAGACAAAATCCATGCCAATTATTTGAACACGGAAGTAGCAACTACAGGAAGCAGCTACTGACCCTAGGGTTGAAGGAACAAGGAAGAGTTAGGAGTTATTAAAATGTGTAAGTTTAGAGGCTGGGTCCTGCAGAACTGACAGTCATATTTTTTCTTGACATATTCTGATGGCTCTGAACTTGGAGGATAGTCCCAGTGGACCTGACTCAGAATTCTGAGGATGGGGTGCTGGCTGGCTGGAGCAAGGCCTAATATGGAGAGCTGGAAAAGCAACAATGTGGCTTGCAGATTTCATCACTAACATCATAAAGCTGAGTATCGTAGGGAGGATGTGGAGTTCTGAGACCACAACTTAACCAGCAGCACAGAGTAACTTATTCTGAAGCCCACAGTCTCTGAAATAGCCGTCTTTAAATCTTACAAACTTTCCCACACGTTTCTTTATATCTATTTTCTTAATTTCATTCTCTCCATAAATTTTGGAGTCAGACAGAGTTGCATTCAGATTTCAGTTTTGTTTCTAAACTTATGAGCTATGTGACTGTAAGCAAGCTATTTAACTTCTTTTAGACTTACTTATCTACAAGCCAGGATCACAATATCTATTTCACAGGATCAGTATAGATGTTATGTGAAGCAAAGTTCGCATGATGTGTACCTGGCACATGCACAGCATATGGTACTAACAAGGCCACGCTGGTTCACCTCCTTTCCCTTCAGGTGTGTCTTCTCCATCACTCTTCCTCCTTTTCTTTCAGCCTCTCATACCTAGCCTTTTTCACTGTGTCTTCTCTCTGTCTTTTCTCCTATATTTTGTTCTCTTCTCCCCCTTTTCATTCTTGTCTCCATCCTTCGATACCTTAATTCATCTTGCTTCATCCCTTTCGTTGTCCACCTACCCTTACATGGCCAATGATCCTCAATAAAAGAAAAGCTCCCACATTTGCTTTCGACTTGGAAATATGTGTCTTTTTACCATTACTTAACTTTTTAATGCACTTTATGTCTTCTTTGGTGTCATATATAGGAAATTGCCATTTTGAGAGCTTGCTGCAGTTTATTGCATAGTGTAATGGAGTGCAGTAGCATGATCTTAGCTCACTGAAACCTCTGCCTCCTGGGTTCAAGCGATTCTCCTTCCTCAGCCTCCCAAGTAGCTGGGACTACAGGTGTGCACTACCACGCCCAGCTAATTTTTTTTTTTTTTTTTTGTATTTTTAGTAGAGACAGGGTTTCACCATGTTGCCCAGGCTGGTCTCAAACTCGTGAGCTCAGGTAATCCACTCACCTCAGCCTCCCAAAATGCTAGGATTACAGGTGTGAACCACTGCTCTTGGCCTCAAGTAGACATTCTTGAATTATAAGCAGTTAAACCAGGTGATGTACAAGTGAAAACAAAGACAATGGTTTCTTTGCCTAGTATATAATATTTATTAAGAAATGACAGAAGACATTGTATCACAGATATAACTGAAATATCCAGCAGGCAAGATCATTATGATCCAAAAACCAAGGGATGGATCAGATGTTAAAATGTGGAAAGTCCAGCCTACTTCTTAGAAGCTGAATGTTGGGTGATGAGCTTCCATTCTCTCTGGTGACTTGAGGAATGTCACTTGGCTATAATTTGGTGTCTTTGATGTTGCAAAAAATTTTAGGTAAACAAGATAAAATAGATTATAAAGCATGGAAACATTAGACTTGTGGATAGTTCTCATGGATAAATTCCACAACATGTCAGTAATTTTTAATCCTGCAGAAATATCAGAAATAGTATATCCCAAGCAAATTGATGATCAGCAGGTGGCTTTGTAGCATTTCTGTGTCCCCAGTGAAGGGTCAAGGTATTCATTGTAGAATGGAATCAGATAGAATTGTGAGCTCATATACTTAGTAGTCTCCATCACAAGCAATGCAAAGTCTGAGAACTTGTTAGTGGTCCAGAGGTGGTCAAGGGATGAACAGTTCAGAGACACTGTGACCTAGGCAATTGAAAATAAGCAAACTGGCTTTCAGCAAGTGGGCTCACAGCAGCAGACTGGGCGGCAGCAGGACTGTCCACAGTAGGACGGGCGGCAGCAGGAGGCCTGGGCATGGTGCAGTTGGCAGCAGGATGGGGGCGTGCAGCTCACCACACAGCAGGGGGGTAGGTAGGTGCCCTCCACACGACTGTCTGGGCGGCACCACCTGATACGGGTGCTCACAGCTCCACTGCTGCCCTCCTGGCCATAGCTGATGCCACCACCAATGCCACAGCCAGTTCCGCAGGAGCTGATCTGGCAGCAGCTTGGCTGGCAGCAGCTGGTCTCACAGCAGCTTGGCTGGCAGCAGCTGGTCTCACAGCAGCTTGGCTGGCAGCAACTGGAGCTGCAGGTCCCACTGGTTGAGAAGCTGGGAAATCCGCAGAAGCTAGTCTGGCAGCTGCGTGGCTGGCAGCAGCTGGTCTCACAGCAGCTTGGCTGGCAGCAGCTGGAGCCACAGGTCCCACTGATGGAGAAGCTGGGATATCCACAGAAGCTGGTCTGGCAGCAGGTCATGGTGTCAGAAGTTGGGTTAAGAGTTAGGTTGCTTGGAGGAGTTTCTGAGGTTTGGTGGTGACTTCCACGTTGGTCCTTTTATATATCTGAACCAGCTGCTGTTTACAAAATTGTTAACATATTTTCTTTGTTTTTGTTTAAATTTGTTACTCCGTGGATCTCTGATTGGCTTATGTTGAAATACTTGTGACACATTATGAGCAATAGTTTAGAAATTACTGTTTTATAGTTTCTTCTGGACTCCTCATATCAGTCCTTTGCTCTTTGGAATATGTTTGTGGTTTCCCATGTTCAAAGAGTACTTCCATTTTAGTCCAAATGAATGCTCTCATTTTACATAATAGTTATTCCACGTGACAATCTATCCATACCTCTAAGGCTAAGAGTAATAATTGTGCTGTTATATTTAACTATTATTTTTTCCTCCTAGATATATAGACTAAATTTTATTGAATTTTGGATATCTGGATATCTACTGAACTGAAGGAATACCTTTGGTCATACATAATTCGCAGATTTCACCTTTTTTTGTTCCAATGTCTTATTGAATTACCGATTATAGTTCCTTTGATTTCAACCAATTTGGAATGTGTGACTATTATTCCTGTTCCAGACCAGAAATCTGTTCTTGGGAACCAAACTGACATAGTATTTAGGAAGGTATCCAGCAGAGTCCTTAGTTTGTGGTAGAACCTTAATAAATGTTTACTGAATCTGATTCAATAAATGTTTATTGAATAGGTGGAGTAAAAGGCTTGATTCATGGATATCAATACCACTCAAACATGATTAAAGAGAACTTTCAAGCTGTAGTACTTCTCATGAAAGAGTCTTGTTATTTGCTGTAAAGAGACTAGGAAATGTGTTTTTTGGTTTATTTTATTTTATTTTTTGGATTTAGTAGTGGAACCGGGCTCGGGAAAAAATATCTAGGAGTTATGACACTTTGAAAAATGTACTGCCATCTACTTTATTCCTCTTGGAAATTGCATAATTTTGTGTGTAATCCATCATTGCTACCAATTAAATATAGAGGTAAGTTCTGGGAGCTTGTAAATAATGTGGAAAACGTGTTTCTTTCTATATTTGCATCCTATTGTATTTTGTGTATTACACTCTAATGCCTAATGAAGAATTTAAAAATTAAATGGTAAAATATGTTTTGTTTTGTTCTAGGTTGTGTTAATTTTTTTTTTTGAGACAGAGTCTTGCTTGTTGCCCAGGCTGGAGTGCAGTGGCGTGATCTTGGCTCACTGCAAGCTCTGCCTCCCAGGTTCACGCCATACTCCTGCCTCAGCCTCCCAAGTAGCTGGGACTGCAGGCACCCACGACCACACCTGACTAATTTTTTTTTTGTATTTTTAGTAAAGACTGGGTTTCACCATATTAGTCAGGATGGTCTCAATCTCCTGACCTCGTGATCCACCCATCTCAGCCTCCCAAAGTGCTGGGATTACAGGCGTAAGCCACCGTGTCCAGCGTGTTAACTTCTTAAGAGAATATCTTTTAAGTTGGGTTGCAAAGTGCAAAATATAATCGAGCTGTTTCAGATTTCTAACACTTCTGTCTGACAAATGGCAATGGTAGAACTCAGCGGGTGCTCTCTATAGCTGTTTCTTCTACTATCATTTAGACCAAAGATACACCTTATGCATACGTACATCAAATGAAGGTGAATAGTGGGAGTTGAAGCTTAGAGAGCAATTCAAGGATCAGTGGGAAGAATGTGAAAGGCTAAGGTGTAGAAATTAAACCTAAATTCTCTTGGAAAATAGGTAGTATCTAGTAGCTATTTTTAAATCTATTTAGAAGGTAATGCAATTTCTTTAGATTTTGGGGCATAAATGAAGGAGAACATTTAGTATATTAAATGGAAGGAGACAAAAGATGGTAGAATTACATTTAGATAGAAATCAATAGCTTTGATCAACCTTAACATTTTAGCTAAAGGTCAACCTTTATTGGTCTAGACCTAATCATAATAGATTAGAGCATGTAAATATTTGAACTATAAAAATTCTTTAATTCATGGAGCATTTTTAAGCTGATGGATTCAAGCATAATTTACTTTGTATTTAATCTTTCTGGTTTAGACTTTATGGTTATGCCTTGGTATTATTATCAAATTGCAAATCCACTCTTGAATACCAGCTACAAGAAGACATGTTTAAAGGTAGAAGGAGGACATAACTCAGTTTGCTTTGCACATTAAAACATTTTATTTGGATTAATCAGAGATATTCAAGGAAAAACCAGGTCTGAAGATGCATGAGCATCAAGAGAGAGTTGGGGGAGCAGAGATGTCACTGAAATGATGAACTATTCCATCCTGGTCCTCTGCTCAAGCAACGCAAGCTATCCAGAACACTGATTGATACATCTTTCAGTAAGTGAATTCGGCACATCCACAGTGTCCTAACTAGGAGTTTCATTATCTCTGAGCAGCTTAACAACATCATGGTACTTAGCATCCAAGTAAAATCGAACAGTTCTTCAGAAATCAGCACAATTTTGCTGTGCTTCCCCTTTCATTCTTAAGCGATCAGCAACCTGGCTTTTAGCAGGTGGGCTCACAGCAGTGGCAGCAGCAGGCTGGGCGGCAGCAGGACTGTCCACAGTAGGACGGGCGGCAGCAGGAGGCCTCGGCGTGGTGCAGCTGGCAGCAGGATGGGGGTGTGCAGCTTACCAGGTAGCAGGGGGGCAGGCAGGTGCCCTCCACGTGGCAATCTGGGTGGCACCACCTGATACGGGTGCTCACAGATCCACCGCTGCCCTCCTGGCCATAGCCAATGCCACCACCAATGCCACAGCCGGTTCCGCAGGAGCTGGTCTGGCAGCAGCTTGGCTGGCAGCAGCTAGTTTCACAGCAGCTTGGCTGGCAGCAGCTGGAGCCACAGGTCCCACTGGTGGAACAGCTGGCCATGGTGTCAGGAGTTGGGTTGAGAGCTGTGTTAAGAGAGGTTTCTGAGTTTGGGCTGTACCTTCTATATCTGTCCTTTGATATGTTCCCTAGAGCTGCATATTTACCCAACACCTTTTCTTGATGTCAATTTCAGTGTGAGTCTCTGGCTAATACCTGAGGTGTTTATAAAGTTATAAATAGCATTTCAATAGCCTTTTTCCATTGTACAATTAAGTCTCATTATGTTTCTTCTTTGCCCTCTGGGCGAAGTGAAGGCTCATCATGGAAGCCAAGCACCGAAGTGCCTCTTTATGCAAGTCACATGACAGACTAGCCTTGAGCCAAGTGTCGCCCTGGCACGTTTTGTCATAGTTGTCCTTTGATAACCTTTAGGCAGAATTTATCTTAACTGATCATTTTTCCTTAAATGGTCACTTAACTATGATCATGATTTTATAAACAATTTGTCCAGACTTGGAAAGACTAACATTAGTGTCATCAAAACATGAACTACAACCTGATGTATCAACTTTCAAACCAAGTATGCCTTTCTATGATCAATTTGTGCAAGTTATAGGATCCTCAGAGCTCTATCTAATATTCTTGCCTTCAGTAATAGTGAATGTACAAATTGCTAACTAAAATCTTTAATGACTTTTGCTTGTAGATTGTTTTCTGACTCTATTAAATTAAACATATGTGCTAGTAATGAGTACACATTGTAACAAGTCAAAGAGTACAGAGGTATATAAAGAAAAATTAGTGTCTTTTCCCTTCCTGGAAGATGCACACATCTCTTCCAAAACTAATGCTCTAGAGGTAATCAATATTAAGAATTTGGTGCACATTCTTTGACACCTTTATCCTTGCTTCTGCAAATATAAACCAGCATATATACATATATATCTTCTATTTCAGAAAAGTTTGGGTCTCCTACACATGTTTATAGTTACAAATTTTTAATTGTGGTAAAATATACATACCATAAAATTTATGAACCATTTACATTAACCATCTTAACCATTTGTAAATAGTCTTGTCACCCTTGTTGAAAATCATTTGACCACATTCACAT
Source organism: Homo sapiens (assembly GCF_000001405.40). NCBI lineage: Eukaryota > Metazoa > Chordata > Mammalia > Primates > Hominidae > Homo > Homo sapiens. The sequence continues at coordinate 180,528 of NW_003871091.1, forward strand.
TCAGAAGAAATGAAATTAGACCATTGTCTCACATTATATACAAAAACCAACTTAGAATGGATTAAAAGACTGAAATGTAAGAAAGACTCAAAATGATAAAACTATAAGAAGAAAACAGAGGAAACTCCATGACTTTTGCCTGGCCAATATTGTGATATTGTGAACATGAATCCAAAAGCATCAGCAAAAATAGACAAGTGGGATTACATCAAACTAAAAAGCTTCTGCACAGCCAATAAAACACTAAACTGAGTGAAGACGCAAACCGCTGAATGGGAGAAAATATTTATAAACCACATATCTGATAAAGGGTTAATATCCAAAGTATAGAGGAAACTCAAACAACTCAATACCTGTAGTAAGAAAACAAATAACGTAATTGAAAAATGGGCAAAAAATCTAAATAGACATTTCTCAAAAAAAATCTACAAATTGCCAACAGGTATATGAAAAATTTTCAAAATCACCAATCATCGGATAATGCAAATTGAAACCACAATGAGATATCGTCTCACACATATTAGATAGTTATTATCAAAAAGACAAAAGATAGCAAGTGTTGGAGAGGAAGTGGAGAAAAGAGAACTCTGGCACACTGTTGGTGGAAATGTAAATTAGTACAGCCATTATGGAAAACAATATGAAGGTTCATCAGAAAATTAAAAATAGAACTGTCATATAATCAAGCAATCCCACTTCTGTGTATATACCCGAAGGAAAGTAAATCAGTATTTTGAAGAGACATCTGCATTCCCATGTTCATTGCAGCATTACTCACAATAGCCAAGATATGGAAGCAACCTAAGTGTCCATGTCCATCATTAAATGAGTGGATAAAGAAAATGTGATACACACACACATACACACACACACACTCACACACTGGAATATTATTGGTCATAAAAGAAGGAAATCCTGCTATTTGGGGCAACAGATTAAACTTGAGAACATTATACTAAGTGAAATAAGTCAGACAAAGAAAAAGACTAATATTGCACTTTCTCACTTACAAGTGGAACTTAATGTAAATGACAAGTTATTGGGTGCAGCACACCAACATGGCACATGTATACATATGCAACAAACCTGCAAGTTGTGCACATGTACCCTAGAACTTAAAGTATAATAAAAACAAAAAAACCTCAAAAAAAAGAAAAAGTTGAATTCATGGAAGTAGAAAGTAGAATGGTGGTTACCGGGGGTAGGGTGGTGGTGGAGTGTGTTGGGAAGATGTTGGTCAAAGGATTACAAAATTTCAGTTAGATAAGAGGAATAAATTCAAGAGATCTATTGTACAACATAGAGACTATAGTTCATAACAATATGTTACAGTCCTGAAAATTGCTAAGAGAGTAGATTTTGTGTTTTCACTACAAAAAAACTTATGTGAGGTAATGCATATGTTAATTAGTTTGATTTAGCCATTGTACGAAGTATACATATTCCAAAAAAATGTGTTGTACACAATAAATACATATAATTTTTGTCAATTCAAATAAATAAATAAATGAACTCATTTAACCATATGTGTATTTGAGGGTTTATTTCTAGGCTCTCTGTTCTTTTCCATTGCTTTATATATCTGTCTTTATATCAGTATCACACTGTTATGATTACTGTAGCTTTACAGTAAATTTTGAAACAGGAAAATGTGAGACCAACTTTGTTCTTTTTTAAGATTGTTTTGGCTATATAGGACCCCTTCTAATTTCATATGTATTTTAGGATGGATTTTTTTAAAATTTCTGCAAAAACATCATTGGGATTTTTATAGGGATTGCGTTAAATCTGTAGATTCTCTGGGTAGTATTGACATCTTAACAATATTAAATCCTATAATCCATGATCTCAGGATGTCTTTTCATTTATTTGTGTCTTCTTTAATTTCTTTCAGTAACATTTTGTAGTTTCTGGTGTACGAGTCTTTCCCCTCCAAGGCTAAGTTTGTTCCTAAGTATTTTATTCTTTATTTTATTATTATTATTATTATTTGAAATGGAGTCTCACTCTGTCACCCAGGCTGGAGTGAAGTGGCACAATCTTGGCTCACTGTAACCTCCACCTCCTGGGTTCAAGCAATTCTCATGCCTCAGCCTCCCCAGTAGCTGGGACCACAGGCATCCACGAACATGCCTGGCTAATTTTTGTATTTTTAGTAGAGACAGGGTTTCACTATATTGGCCAGGCTGGACTTGAGCTCCTAACCTCAGGTGATCTGCCCACCTCAGCTTACCAAAGTGCTGGGATTACAGGCATGAGCCACCATGCCCGGCCATAAGTATTTTATTCTTTTGATGGAATTGTTTTTAAAATTTTCCTTACAGATTTTTCATGGTTAGTATATAGAAATGCAATTTATTTTTTTTAGTAGAGATGGGGTTTCACCATGTTGGCCAAGCTGATCTCAAACTCCCGACCTCGTGATCTGTCTACCTTGGCCTCCCAAAATGCTGGGATTACAGGTGTGAGCCACCGTACCCAGCCAGAGATTTTGATTTCTGTAACTTCCTGGTTGTGAAAGCACTGTGTAAGGTTAAGTTATGGTAACAGAGCCTTTGCCATTTCTGAGGCCCTAAATAACTACACTTACTCTATGTTTTTATGGTCATTAACCTCCACTGGACCTCTGGATAACAAATTTCCTAATGTGGTATTAGAAGAGAAGGGATATCAAAAGCAGATTAAAGTTTTTCATATGACATTCTATGAAATATACATCCTGAGTACACTCAATGAAAAAAAAAAGATATGTTTGTTGCACCAATAGTTAAAATTTATTAGACCTTGGTATATTATTCCTCTTTCATAGGGGGTGCAATTTGCAGGACGGTGGGATACAGGAAGTGAGTGTCCTGAGAAGGACAGATGGCTCTTCCATGGTCTCGTCGGCGCTGAGACTCAGAGCGTGGGCTTCAATGCTTGCAAAGGCTCAGTTTCAAGGTAAATCGGCTTTTTCATTTCTTGGGTCAAATTTGTATTTTGGCGTCCTCAGAGAGAAGAGTAAGGTCTTTCTGGAATTGAAAGGAATCAGATAATTCTGAGGCCAAAATATTTGGTAACCCCCATAAGAAAGACAAAGAAAGGTTGAAGAATTTGTTCGTTGTCCATAAGTGCTTGAAGAAATAATTCGTTCATGAATGGAACTGAAAGTGGAAATTTCAAGTTGAAAATCAGCAAACTGGCTTTTAGCAGGTGGGCTCACAGGAGTAGCAGCAGCAGACTGGGCGGCAGCAGGACTGTCCACAGTAGGATGGGCGGCAGCAGGAGGCCTCGGCGTGGTGCAGCTGGCAGCAGGTTGGGGGTGTGCAGCTCACCACACAGCAGGGGGGCAGGCAGGTACCCTCCACACGGCAGTCTGGGCGGCACCACCTGATACGGGTGCTCACAGCTCCACTGCTGCCCTCCTGGCCATAGCCAATGCCACCACCAATGCCACAGCCAGTTCCGCAGGAGCTGGTCTGGCAGCAGCTTGGCTGGCAGCAGCTGGTCTCACAGCAGCTTGGCTGGCAGCAACTGGAGCTGCAGGTCCCACTAGTTGAGAAGCTAGGAAATCCGCAGAAGCTGGTCTGGCAGCAGCTTGGCTGGCAGCAGCTGGTCTCACAGCAGCTTGGCTGGCAGCAGCTGGAGCCGCATGTCCCACTGGTGGAGCAGCTGGGATATCCACAGAAGCTGGTCTGGCAGCAGGTCATGGTGTTGGGAGCTGGTATGAAGTCTGGGTTGCTTGGAGGAGTTTCTGAGTTTTGGTGATGGCTGCCACATTGGGCCTTTTATAAGCCTGGGCCAGCTACTGTTTACATAATTCCAGAAGTCTCTTGCTTATTTGTGTTGGATAATTTGTCTCTGAATGATAATTGGCCTCTCCCTGAATTATTTGTTGAACCTACTGAGAGCCTTTGAAAGTTGATTGTATTTGGTCTGCAATTAGGCTTCTTTACCATGGTCAAGAAGTCATTGGCATTAATTAGGAATATGATCCCTAACTCCTCATGTTTCTTAAAATTTCCTCATGGTCAAGGAATAATTGACTGATGCCTCACCTTTAAGGATTGTCAATATTACTCAGTGTTGACCCTTACAACTGGGTGATTGGGTCTCACATGACAGTTTAATTCCCTCCAATTTTAACTGTGGCTCCTTCTCTAACTTTCTTATCTTCCCTTTGACTGTGAAGCAAGACTATATTCAGCTGGCCAGAAAGGGATGCTTTCTTGGGCCTGGGAGATTTGCATTAATTGCTATTGATAACATTTTCCCATCACTGATTATGTGCCTAAATAGTTCTGAGTACTTCGCATGTATCAATTTGCTGAATTTTCACGGCAATCTATGGGCTAGGTATCACTGCCACTCCCATCAACCATGTGAGAAAACTGAGCCACAACAGGTTGAAGTAACTTACCCTAGTTCACACTAGTATCTAGTGAATCTGAAATTTGAATCCACAACCTCTGATTCCAGACTAAACTCTTTAAACACTATAGTCAATTCTTTCTCTCTTTCTCTCTGTCTTTCTCCCTTCCTTCCTTCCTTCCCTCCTTTCTTCTTTCTTTCTTTCTTTCTTTCTTTCTTTCTTTCTTTCTTTCTTTCCTTCTTTCTTTCTTTCTTTCCTTTCTTTCTTTCTTTCCTTCCTTCCTTCCTTCCTTCCTTCCTTCCTTCCTTCCTTTCTTTCTTTCTTTCTTTCTTTCTTTCTTTCTTTCTTTCTTTCTTTTTCTTCTTTCTCCTTTCTTTCTTTCCTTTCTTCTTTTTTTATGTAAAAAGTCATTCTAAGGAAATTCCAATGGTGAAAGCAAGCCGTAAAAATTTGCTTCCTTTCTTACGGACTTTTTTGAGAGTAAAAGGAAGGAAGGGAGAGCTTAGGGTAAGTAATAACACAGTTTACTACAGCCATTCCTAGAGATTTTATTTATTTATTAACAGCATAATAAGCACAGTTCAAGAAAATCTTAAGTGCTAAAAAAGTTAACCTTCTTGTGACTTTGTCTCATCTTTTATCTTAGGATATTCTATAGATTTAGATTTTTTAACTGCATAAAATTATAGTTTTTAACATATTAATACTGGAGTATGTGATTTACTACAGAGTGTTAGATCGGCTGTATGCAGTTTATTATAGATATTAGAGACTAATCCAGTGAACTGGAAAGTTTATATAATTTGAATGAGACAGCTGATGACGGTGAATATAAAGGTTTTGTTTAGATGCAATAAAAGGTGACCAGGCCTCCATGGAGTATGGGTTCATTACTGAGAAATGCAAGTTACGATGCTACTCTTGGATTTTGAACCAGAACACCAAGTGGTAGTTCTGCTTCTCTAGAAATGACAGCTTTGAGTTTACATCATAACTCTTTCTGAGTCAGAATTAAGACATATTTTCAAATCCCACATCAAATTTGGTTTAAAAGATATGATTCTTTGTGAATTCCTTGCTTCTTCTTAAGCAAAGCTACATCACAGATTCTTTGATTAGCTAATATTTTTTATGTTGGATGCTTGAAATACGTGGGTGTGTCATGACAACAATCTCGGGAGCTATTTAATTCAGATCTAAATTTAGCAGAATCTTTGATACTAAACAGATGTATCTCCTTTTGCAAAAGGCTCAGATATCTGAGGACCTGAAATACATTATTGATAAGAGCACTGGAGACAGTGGCGTTGCATATCAGTTCTCCCTTTCTGGGCTTTTCTACTGTGGCACTATTTTCAACATCTTCCTCAATGCAAAATTTAAGGTATGACACTTACTTGAGAATTTGACTCCTGTGCCACAGAACGAAGACTAATCTGAACATTCCCTTACCTCCTCTAAGTAAATTAAGAAAATGAAATTTATTTTATTTCACTTTACATTATATCCTTCAAGTTTAGGTATGTTGTAATATGTGACCGAATTTCCTGCTTTTTATAGACTCAATAGTATTCCGTTGTGTGTATATACCACATTTCTTATTACTGTGCTGATTCCCTCTGGCATTCATTACTTCATTTAAGTGATGGGCTGTAGACCATTCCAGTACCATAAGAAGAAAGAATGTGTTTGTCTGTTATTCCTGAACGTGGCTTTGGTTTAACACAGACACTAATGTTTGAAATTATTTTTCTTTAAGATATCATGGTTCTGGTTTTCTAGTTACAAGTTCTGGGGATTCTCCCAATTTCTTCATCTCCGTTTTACTAGTTCTCTAATTCGGTTGTGACTGCCTTACTTAGATTCTCGAGAAATAAAACATGATTGATGTACCAGTCAAATGAATACAACATTCCTATGTAGGGCTTCTGTGCTTCTGCTCTGGGCTTCCATCCTAGTAATCTAGACCAGATAACACATAAACTTCAAGGACCTCCTCTTACTACCAACTTTTATCCTAAGCCAAGTCACAAGATCTATCTCTTCCCTCCTGAATGCCAACCAGGATTTTTTGGGGTGCTTCTGAGCCAAAGTCCTTTTAATTAAAAGGTACATCCAACCTAAACCCTCTCAGAGACAACAGAGCTCTAAATGAGGGGAATAAAATGTTGACTACATTGTAGGGCCATTGTGTATAGATGTACAGGTCGCGCCCTGATGTGTGGCTCTGTCCACTCAGAGGAAGGAGCATATTATTTCTTACATCAAGCTGGAGGCTCAACAAACTGTGCACTCCTCTGTCTGTATCTTCTCCAAAGTGGTGCCTTTTCCTAATTCTTTTAAAGTTGTGCTAGCAGAGGTCCTGTTCTTTTGATTTTTTAAAATGGAGGTTAAATTCACATAACCTACAATTAACCATTTTAAAGTGTATAATTGAGTGACATATAGTATATTTATAATATTGGGCAACATCATCTCTCTCTAGCTTCAAAAACTTTTCCATCATCGCAGAAGAACACCCCCATGACCTTTAAGCAATCACTTCCCATACCCCTCTACCCCCAGGCACTGGCTCACCACTTTGATTTAATGACAAAAGATTTTATCCCTTGGAATGAAAGCCTCACTATGCGTCTTTTATTTAATGCTTGCTTCATCTAGAACTCTCTCTGAAAATTAGAATAAGAACAGTGACAGTATTTAAATCCATCCTTGCAGTGAACATTTATTTTCTGCTTCACAATACATAAGAAGATTATACAGGTATTATAAAAACATCAGTTGATACTCCCTTTCATCATTTTTCAAAGTATATTTTGAGGAGTATTTGTGTTACAGGGTGTTAACAGGTAACATAAAAATAGAGAGTTTTCTGGCTAAGTTAGTTTGGGAGTGATGGTTATAGAGTTGTTTTTTTTTTCTTTTCTTTTTCTTTTTTTTTTTTTTTGAGATGGACTCTCACTCTGTCACCCAGGCTGTAGTGTAGTGGCGCGATCTTGTTTCACCGCAACCTCCACCTCCTGGATTCAAGTGATTCTCCTGCTTCAGCCTGTAAGACCACAGGTGCCCGCCATGACGCCTGGCTAATTTTTGTATTTTTAGTAGACACGGGGTTTTGCCATGTTTGTCATGCTGGTCTCGAACTTGTGACCTCAGGTGATCCACCTGCCTCAGCCTCCGGAAGTGCTAGGATGACAGGTGTGAGCCACTGAGCCCGGCCACTGGTTGTAGAGCTTTATTTATTGCAGGCCATCTCAGTCCCTTTAATATTCCAGTGTGGCTTTATAAACTTGCAAAAAGGTGATAAAGCATACAACATAATTTGACCACTGTATATTTTTTCCTCTTTGGGCATCTGAAGCTATTACTGGTCAGTGTGTAGCCTGTTTAGGAAATTATCTACCCTCTTATGCCTGGAAGGGATGTTGTCAGTAATGACTCAATTCTCTCATTTCCCAAATTAGAAATAGGTACCCAGGCAAGTGAAGGGACTTGCTCAAGGATTCATGGATAGCTAGTTACAAAGTTGGGACTAGAACTCAGGAGTCTTGATTTAGCTTTTTGTTCTTCTACCCAATAGCATAAGCTATTTTTACATCTTATGCTATTGGGTAGAAGGAAAAAAAAACACACTCAAATGTTCTTTCTACTCTCTCACTCAACAACAATCAACACAGAAGATTTCTGTGGCTAATGTGTGGGGATTTCTCCCCATCAAGAAGCAAGGAAATAAATTCTGCAGCAGATACCAGCTGCATGTTTTCCACTCCAATTCCATTCTAACGCTATTTACTTGGTGATAGTGTCAGGTTTTACAGGGGGAGGGCTCAGTTCTGTAAGACTGCCCCCTACTTCCAGTGCCAAGCACAAGCTCCAGGTTGTTTTGCCTGTGCTTCTGACCAACCAGCCATAAATTGGGAATTCCATGACACCCTCAAGTTTGATGAATGTGCTAGGGCAGGTCCCAGGACTCAGGGAAACATTTAGCTTATTGGTTTATTATAAAGACAATTACAAATGGCACAGAAGAAGAGATGCATAGGGTGAGGTGTGGGGGAAGGGGTATGAGGAGCTTTCATAACCTCTCTGGGAACAGCACATTCCAGGAACCTCCACACATTCAGCTATCTGGAAGCTCCTCAAACTCTGTGGGTTTTTTTTTTTTTTTTTTTTTGAACATTTTACGGGGACTTCAGTGGATGGGCATGATGGACAACCATTAGAAACGTGATTGGACAAAAAGAGTATGATCTAATGTTAGTAGAGTGAGTGATGAAACCTGTCTGTCAGATCCTTCTTGGTCTCTCTATGCAGCCTTCCTTCCTCCAGGGCATGGGGCAGAACCTCTTCTGAAATGGGGATCTTATGACCTACAATCAGGCAAGGTAGGTAGGAGAATATCTTGATGGCCAGTGCCAAGAACAGTGGGGGAAGATTCTTGCCTTGAGGAGTAAAAGGAGCAGGTGAAAAGAGGTGGGGAGAAGGCCAGAGAGAGAGAGAGAGCAAGAGCAAGTGAGTGAGCGAGAGCGAGAGAGAGAGAGATTCTGTTTTCTGAGGCCTGCTTCTGAAGTGTAAAGTGCCCTAACATCAATAAAAGGGCTATGGGAGTTATGAGCCTAGACCTTGAATGAAATGTGTATATTCGTTACATGCTATTACTCTGTAATCTTGTGTTTGTATTCTTTCACAATTTTTATTATGCTTTTGTATATCTTGGAGGACAGAAATAATTGTATACAACCTCATATATGAATGGATGAATGAATAGATTTGGCAAAACCTCAAGAAGCTGAATCAATCTGTTGGAATACCTAGCCCACCACTTTGCACATGAGAGGACCTTAGGAAACAGTTCCTAAATGTTGTCAAGTTCCTTTAATCATATGTCTTGGCTGCAAAATATTGGACCATTTAATGGTAAAACAAAGGAAAATTGCTGTTAAATATCATCATTAAAAGAGCAAAAGTACAGAAAAACCATAGTGTCATGTCATGTTGATATTTTGAAAAATCCCAGTACCCCAATATTGTTAATAAATTCCAAAGCAAAGAAAGTTCAAACAACAACTTCATCATTGAAGAGATGAAAACTTTTATTAAATTTAAGTCCCAATAACTGTTGAAATATTTCAGGTGATATTTATAGTAAAATAGTATCTAACTCTTTTCACATTGTAGGACTTTGGCTGACAACCAGGTCTAGGAAAAATTTTTGGTCTTCCATTGTAAATGAATTTACTTCCTAGGGAATTTATGTGGCTGTGTGATGAGAGGTTGCAAGCCCAGTTATAGGTACTGGAGTTCAGAAGATTGTTAGGATTCTAATTTGGCTAGTTTTAAGGTGCCATCTTATCAGGATCCCCAGCAGAAGGAGGTTTTCAACAAGTGGGCTCAGAGCAGTAGCAGCAGCAGACTGGGCGGCAACAGGACTGTCCACAGTAGGATGGGCGGCAGCAGGAGGCCTCGGCGTGGTGCAGCTGGCAGCAGGATGGGGGTGTGCAGCTCACCACGCAGCAGGGGGGCAGGCAGGTACCCTCCACACGGCAGTCTGGGCGGCACCACCTGATACGGGTGCTCACAGCTCCACTGCTGCCCTCCTGGCCATAGCCAATGCCACCACCAATGCCACAGCCAGTTCCGCAGGAGCTGGTCTGGTAGCAGCTTGGCTGGCAGCAGCTAGTTTCACAGCAGCTTGGCTGGCAGCAGCTAGAGTCACAAGTCCCACCGGTTGAGAAGCTAGGAAATCCACAGAAGCTGGTCTGGCAGCAGCTTGGCTGGCAGCAGCTGGTCTCACAGCAGCGTGGCTGGCAGGAGCTGGTCTCACAGCAGCTTGGCTGGCAGCAGCTGGAGCCGCAGGTCCCACTGGTGGAGCAGCTGGGAAATCCACAGAAGCTGGTCTGACAGCAGGCCATGGTGTCAGGAGTTGATCTGAAGGTTGGGTTGCTTGGAGGAGTTTCTGAATTATGGCTGCCTATTCCACTGCCGGCTTTTTATAAGTCTGGGCCAATTCCTCTATTTGTGGCGAGCAACATTTTTATCTTGTTACTCTTTAAACCAGCCTTTCTAGGGCCCTCTGATGGTTCAAATGCTGAATTGTTTTAAATATATCTCAAAATTGATTTTTCCTTATTGCTCAGCTAATACTCACCAAATGTGTTTGTCCTTGGTAAAAATGTTAACATTTTGTTTACAAACAATGGTATAATTTCCACTTGAGCTTCAGCTTCAGGTTTGCACTTGTGGGTATATCACCTGACAAAGTGACTCTCACCCATAAGGTGATGTGATTTTGGAGATCATATTCACCAAACCTCAGGTCTCCAGAAAAGAATTATTAATCATGATTGCCCTTATGTAAGACTGCTTTGTATTTTTTAGACTAATAAGATTATCCTCTCTCGATATAATCTTATTAGCCAGATAGAAACTCTGATAAACTCTATATTCATAGAAATTCATAGATTTTTCCCTGAAATGGAATCTTTCCAATTTCTGTGATATCTCCTGAACTTCACATTCATATTTTAGGAAACATTGATCACTCAGGAGGATATATAAAACAAAACCTGTTCAATTTCAATGTCTCTTAAAAAAGAGGCTAAAATTCATATTCAGTAATTGGAAAAAATTGCAAAATATTTTAACAAAATTTACACTTCTCTATGAAAGACAAAAATCACTTGTATATGGATTATCTGGCATATAATTTTTCAAAGGCAGAATTTAATTTTAATTTATGTCATTTCAAGTTACTAAACCATGTGTCCTGTGAAAAGATATTAGACCAAAGAGCATGACAACTGAATTTAGGAAAGGGAATAAATCAAAGAAAAAGCAAGAGTTAGAAAATACTTTTATCTGCTTTATAAGGCAGGTTAGAAAATGGGTGACCAAATATAGTTCAAGAGGTGTAGTATAATAAATGCAAAGAGATTAAGAAAAATTTCAGCAAAATAAAAGTTAAAACAATTCCTGGTCATTGCCAGAAGAAAGAATGTAATTTTCACTGGGAGTTTAGGGTTACGTGAGATAAATGAAAAAAGGCTGGTCAAAAACATATTATTTCTACTTGGGGTAGGTTTATTTCTCCCTTCCAATCATGAATAGAAACACATAGTTAGCTTTTTATGAGGTGGTGGCATTTGTTTGTACAGGAATGGGGTTATATCACAATGTGATTCATGCCAGCTTCAGTAAAGATGTTCACGTCATATGGTAACCATGACTGTAGGTATGAAGTTGAAAATGGTTATATGTAATCAATGAATGTTGGAGATCAAAAATGTAGTAAATTATCTTGTTCCACCACTTAATTTTATAGGTGTAGAAACTGACATCATTCTTATTATAAATAGCACATATTTATTAACTTCTACTATGCCCAGAGCACTAAAGGCTTATACAGAAAGCAAGATCCCATCTATTTGTTTTGTATCTTGCTCTAGTATAAAAATCAGTGTAGTAGCAATAGGAGGGATTAATCAAGGAAAAGAGTTGAGTATAGAACCATTTAGTCTCAAAGTTCTAAATGGGAACATTGGTGATGTGCTATGGAGCACTTTTCATTTTCACTTAACATCGGCTGATGTTAGAATACTCTTGAGTCTTGAAGAGGTTAAGTGGCTTGTTCCATTCACACAGTACACAACCAGAAGAGCTGGGTATAAAATTCCTATCACTTGTTCCTAGACCAGTTCTTTTTATTTTATACCATGCTGCTTTTCAGAATCAATTAATGTTAGTAAGGCTCTTTGTCTTTGTCTTTTTTTCTAAAAAAAAAAGGTATTTTGTAATAGCACAAGAATAGAAATATTAGATGGTAGAGAGATGGCACTATGGAGTAGTGATTTTAAATACACAATAAATAAGTACAAATATGTTAAAGTTCTTTTAAGTATCTGGACCAGAGACTTATAATTGGAATAAGTCACATTTGCCTCCTAGTTGTTTTTTGTTTCCCACATTCAACTAAGTTAATATACTTTCTGGGTTTCTACATCTGCTATACTCATTGTGTCTTCTTTATTCCATGGGTATTATCTTAGTTGAGCTCTTATTGTAATCACTTGACCAAGGCAATATCTTCCTGATTAGTTTCTGTATAGTTCTGTACGACTCATTTCTCTGGCCTTTGACCTCTGTCTTTATAAGGAGCTATCATGAGAATTGTCCCAATGCCCTGCTCTTGTTATGCCATTTTCCTGCCCCAAAGCTTTCAACAACTCCTTACTGCTTATTGCATTAAGGGTGTACTCCGTTGGCTAGTATTCAAAGCATACAAATTTTCCAAATCTTTCTTTCATTATCACTCTATATATATCCAGTGCCCCCAGCCAAACCGTACTCTGAACAACCCTATGGTTCCCCTCCCTCCACACCTTTGCTCATACTATTTCTATTGCTGAGAATGCCATCCCTGTGATCTGGACACCACAATCTGAACCTATATAAAATGTTAGCTTCTCTTTTCAATCTTTCTTATTTTCCCCAACCAACAGTGACTTCTGTGTTGACACCACACAGTGTTGTACTTTTATTTTTTAATATTCTAGTTTTTAGATGAATTATAGGTGAATATGACTCATGTCTCTAGAATCTTTTTGAAGATGGGAACATTTTTAATTCAATTTTACTTTCTATTTTATACCATATAGCCTGTGACTTGCATATGGTAGGCAAGCAGCACATTTAGACCCTATTTCTTAACTCATTTAAAAACAACCCAAAATGGATTAAATACTTAAATATAAGACCACATATAATAAAACAACTAGAAGAAAACCCACAGGAAACATTTTATGACACTTGTCTGGGCAATGGTTTTTTCTTGGGGGGATAAGACCTCAAAGGCACAGGCAACAAAAGTGAAAGTAAACAAATGGGATTATATAAAATTAAAACCTTCTGCACAGCAAAGGAAACAATCAAATCAGCAGAGTGAAGAGACAGCCTAGAGAATGGGAGAAAATATTTTCTTTTTTGGTACTTTTTTTTTTATTATACTTTTAAGTTCTAGGGTACATGTGCACAACGTGCAGGTTTGTTACATATGTATACGTGTGCCATGTTGGTGTGCTGCACCCATTAACTCATCATTTACATTAGGTATATCTCCTAATGCTATCCCTCCCCCCTCCCCCCACCACACAACAGTCCCCGGTGTGTGATGTTCCCCCTCCTGTGTCCAAGTGTTCTCATTGTTCAATTCCCACCTATGAGTGAGAACATGCGGTGTTTGGTTTTCTGTCCTTGTGATAGTTTGCTGAGAATGATGGTTTCCAGCTTCATCCATGTCCCTACAAAGGACATGAACTCATCATTTTTTATGGCTGCATAGTATTCCATGTATATGTGCCACATTTTCTTAATCCAATCTATCATTGATGGACATTTGGGTTGGTTCCAAGTCTTTGCTATTGTGAATAGTGCTGCAATAAACATACATGTGCATGTATCTTTATAGCAGCATGATTTATAATCCTTTGGGTATATACCCAGTAATGGGATGGCTGGGTCAAATGGTATTTCTAGTTCTAGATCCCTGAGGAATCGCCACACTGTCTTCCACAATGGTTGAACTAGTTTACAGTCCCACCAACAGTGTAAAAGTGTTCCTATTTCTCCACATCCTCTCCAGCACCTGTTGTTTCCTGACTTTTTAATGATCACCATTCTAACTGGTGTGAGATGGTATCTCATTGTGGTTTTGATTTGCATTTCTCTGATGGCCAGTGATGATGAGCATTTTTTCATGTGTCTGTTGGCTGCATAAATGTCTTCTTTTGAGAAGTGTCTGTTCATATCCTTCACCCACTTATTGATGGGGTTGTTTGTTTTTTTCTTGTAAATTTGTTTGAGTTCTTTGTAGATTCTGGATATTAGCCCTTTGTCAGATGAGTAGATTGCAAAAATTTGGGAGAAAATATTTTCAAACTATGCATCTGACCAGGGGTTAATATCTAGAATATATAAGGAACTTGAACAACTCAACAGTGAATAATAATAAAAAATCCAATTAAAAATAGGTAAAAGACCTGAATAGATATTTCACAAAAGAAAACATACAAATTTCCAACACATATATGAAGAAGTGCTCAGCATCACTAATCATCAGGAAATGCAAATCAAAACCGCAATGAGATACCATATCACCACAATTAGAATGGCTATTATCAAAAATACAAAAAGATAACAAATGCTGGTGTGGATGTGGAAAAAAGGGAACTCATACAAGGTTAGAGGGAATGTAAAGTAGTATAGCCATTATGGAAAACAGTATGGAGGGTTCCCCAAAAATTAAAAATAGGACGATCATGTGATCCAGGAATCCCACTACTGAGTATATACGCAAAGGAAATGAAATCAGTATGTTGAGGAGATTTCTGCACTTCCATGTTTATTGCAGCACGATTCACAACAGCCAACATATGAAAACAATCTAAGTGTTCATCAATGGATGAATGGATAAAGAAAATGTGACACACACTCACACCCAAACACACAATGAAATACTATCAGCCATGAAAAAGAATGAAATACTGTCATGTGCAGCAACATGGATGAACCTGGGGGACATTATGTTAAGTGAAATTAACCAGGCACAGAAAGACAAATAGCACATTCACTCACTCCTATGTGAAATCTAAAGAAGTTGATCTCATAGAAGTAGAGAGTAGAATAGTGACTACCAGAGGCTGGGGAGGGTGAGAGGAGGGGAGGATAGGCAGAGATTGGTCTACAGGTACAAAGTTACAGGTAGATAGGAGGGATAAGTTTTGGTATTCTAATGTACAGTAGGGTGACTGTGGTTAGTAATATTTTATCATATATTTCAAAATAGCGATCAGAGAATATTTTAAATGATCTTACCATGAAGAAATGATAAATGTATGAGGTGACGAATATGCTAAACACCCTGACTTGATTATTACACAACGTATACATGTATGGAAACATTACATTGCACCCCATAAATATGTACAATTATGTGTCAGTTTTTTTAATTAAAAAATTAATTTAATACAAAATATTAGAATGAGTAAATAAAACCAAATCTTTTTGCAAGGCCAAAGAACAGATATTTATTAGAAAATAAACATGCCACGAAATCTTAAGAAGAAGGAAATTGCTTCTTTTACAGACTTCAGAATGGCCCAGGTCTTAATAGATGAGCCCAGTGCTCGGTTCCCTGCTTGGTTGATGTGGGGTTTTGTGGGCTCAGGGCAGGAGGTTTGTTAAAGTAGAGAAATGGGAGTGTGACTTTTTCAGAAGGTGAGTTACGCGTTCCGGGCAGTCAGTGCACTGCTCAGCAGGAGGAGGTCCTGCAGGTGGTGCTGCAAGGGGTCGGCTGGCCGCAGGGGGACTGCACAGACACAGGCTGGCAGCAGGTGGTGGCTCAGCAGGAGGAGGTCCTGCAGGTGGTGCTGCAAGGGGTCGGCTGGCCGCAGGGGGGCCGGCAGCAGGGGGACTGCACAGACACAGGCTGGCAGCAGGTGGTGGCCCAGCAGCAGGGCCTGCACACCACAGCCGTGCACGACGAGGGGCAGCAGGTGATGGGGCGGCAGCAGCCTTCCTGCAGGGAGCAGGGGTCGCAGCACACCGGGCGGCGGCAGGGCTCGCAGATGGGGCGCGTGCAGCGGGGCACGCAGGTCACGGGGCGGCACACGGTGGTCTGGCAGGTCACGGGGCGGCAGCAGCAGGGGTCGCGGCAGCAGCAGGGCTGGCAGCAGCCTCCCCCGTAGCTCAGGGAGGAGAAGGTGGAGCCGCAGCAGGAGCCGGTCATGGTGGTGTCTGAGGCTGGTGTGGGTTGGGCTGTGGAGAGGAGCTGGATGTTCTCAGGTGTGAATGTCCTCCTCCCCCTCTGGGCCCTTTATATACCCTGGCCGGGTGCAGGTGACCCTTTTCGTTTACCTTTTGGCCAATTAAGTAGAATTTTGTTTTGACTAATGGTTGCTTGTGACACACTCATTATCTCACTAAAGAGCTCTTGTTTTATCTCTAAGTATGGATGTACTCACATTGGGTGAAAATCTAAGAACTCATCGTCATTTGAGGTGATAGTAGCTCTTGATGCTTATTTTGAGTAGATAACACTGGATCAAATCTGGACAAAACGGTCTAAAAAAACTTCAGTTTTTAAAAGAAATTAAAAACATAGAGAAGTACATAGAACATTGAGTAGAGCCTATCCTGACCCCAATAGGGGACTCAAGTCCTTGGAAGCACCTACATGTGAAACGTGAATCACACGAGTGTTAGACAAGCCCTCCCACGTAGTCTGCTTGGGAATACGTTTGATTATCACTTGATATAGTGGGATACATAGGCCTTGAATAGGATAGCAGCTCATAGAGTTGTACAGGACAGACAAAAATTTTTGCAAACCACTAAGTGTTGGAATAAAACCTCCAAGACTGCCTTGCATGTTTTCTTTTCTCTAGTTCAGGTTCTGTGCAACTCTGGTCTTTCTGTCATAAGATGCTGATTTTTATCTCTGAAACATGTCATTTTTTAGCGTTGCCTTTCTTGTGCATGTAATGAAGAATTCTGTAATGGGAAATTTTTCTGAATATACCTTGTTGGCCGGGCGCAGTGGCTCATGCCTGTAATCCCAACACCTGGGGAGGCCAAGGCAGGTGGATCACCTGAGCTCAGGAGTTCAAGACCACCCTGGGCAACATGGTGAAACCTCAACTCTAATAAAATACAAAAAATTAGCTGGGTGTGGTGGCAGTGCCTGTAGTCCCAGCTGTGCCGGAGGCTGGGGAACGAGAATCACTTGAGCCCCAAAGGCGGAGGTTGCAGTGAGCCGAGATCATGCCATTGCACTCCAGCTTGGGCTACAGAGTGAGACTCCATCTCAAAAAAGAAATATGCATATATACTTTGACATAGGTGCTCTGATTAGCAAGTGACAAGAAAGGGGTTTTCAACCAACATTGCACACATATCCAGAACACTGTTCAGGGGTAGACGCATTGGGAGGCTGCCCAGTGTTCTGCTGTGGCACTGCTAAAAGCGTGATGGATGCGCTTCTTCAGGAAGTGTTGCCAGGGGCAGTTCAGGAACTACATGGGGGAAACAGTCCCATTACTTTCCAGCTTTACTCCTCCTGTTAGTCACCAGACAGGGTTTTGAATCACTTCGGGATCATTTTCTTTATTTGAAAGAATGTGCCTTGGGGCCGGACATCTAAAGCTCCCCAAATGGAATTTCAAGCATAATTTCAAAACTTTAAGAGGAATGTAAATTGACTGGACCCGGTAGTCACAATTAGGGAAACAGAAGAGGGAGATATCAGGCACAATCTCATCGCTAGAGACCTTTGACTCTCCTGTTTTACATTCTTTTCTTTGTTTACGGACGTGGGATTTTTGTTTTTCAAAGTGGTAACCAGAGGTAACTAGGTAAAAAGTTGTATATTCTGCTCTTTTCGAGACATATTATCTCATAATTTATTTTCATGCTGCTGTGGAGTCTTCATGATAATCACATTTTATGCAATGGGAGCCTCTTTGGAAGACTTAAATCATCACATTAACAAGACTCATTTCTCTACTGCAGAAACTTCAAACCCAAGGTCATTCTAAAGAGATCTGTCTCTCCCCTTTATAAAGATCTGTCTCTCCCCTTTATAAGGATCTGTCTCCCCTTTATAAAGGTCCAAAAAGATAATCTGTGCATCACTCAGTAACCTTTCTAGTGTTTATTCACTCTAAGACACTTATCCACACCCCATAGCCAAACTTCGTTTTCAGGCAGAGAAAATATGGGTCATGCTTCAGTTATTCATGCCTCAGAGTTGTAAGAGCACAGACAGCTCTGCGGTTTGACACTTGGTGGCAAGTCACATCCTATTTTCTGACCCCACTTATTCTGAAACTGGACAATGCTCATTTAAAGCTCTGCCACTTACTGGCTGTGTGTCCTTGGGCCATAATAATAGTTCATATCAGAATTGTAAGGATTACATGAGCTAATATTTGTCAAGTGCTAAGAACAAACAATGTCTGGCACTTAGTGTCTTGTATTTGTTAAATATATATATATATAGTAAATATATATATACACACATATATACACATATATAGTAACATGACCTTTTACTATATATATAGTAAAATATATATAGTATATATGTATATATACATATGTATTACATATATAGTAAAATATGTATAGTATATATGTATACAGTATATATGTATGTATACTATATATGTATATGGTGTTGCGGGAAGTCAGGAACCCCAAACGGAGGGACTGACTGAAGCCATGACAGAAGAACGTGGATTGTGAAGATTTTATGGACATTTATTAGTTCCTCAAATTAATACTTTTGTAATTTCTTATGCCTGTCTTTACTGAAATCTCTAAACATAAATTGTAAAGATTTCATGGACACTTATCACTTCCCCAATCAATACCCTTGTGATTTCCTATGCCTGTCTTTACTTTAATCTCTTAATCCTGTCAGTTGAGGAGGATGTATATCATTCCAGGACCCTGTAATAATTGCATTAACTACAAAAATTGTACAGCATGTCTGTTTGAGCAATATGAAATGTGGGCACCCTGAAAAAAGAACAGAATAACAGCAATTGTTCAGGGAATAAGAGAGATAATCTTAAACTCTGACCGCTGGTGAGCCGGGCAGAACAGAGCCATATTTCTCTTCTTTCAAAAGCAAATGGGAGAAACATCGCTGAATTCTTTTTCTCAGCGTGGAACGTCCCTGAGAAAGAGAATGCGCACCTAGGGGTAGGTCTCTGAACTGGCCCCCCCGGGGTGTACCTGTCTCTTATGGTCGAGATTGCAGAGGTGAAATAAACTCCAGTCTCCCATAGCGCTCCCAGGCTTATTAGGAAGAGGAAATTCCCACCTAATAACTTTTGGTCAGACCGGTTGATCTCAAAACCCTGTCTCCTGATAAGATGTTATCAATGACAGTGGTGCCCAAAACTTCATTAGCAATTTTAATTTCACCTCGGTCCTGTGGTCCTCTGATCTCGCCCTGCCTCCACTTGCCTTGTGATATTGCATTACCCTGTTAAGTACTTGATGTCTGTCACTCACACCTATTCGTATACTCTCTCCCCTTTTGAAACTCCCTAATAAAAACTTGCTGGTTTTTGTGGCTTGTGGGGCATCACGGATCCTACCAAAATGTGATGTCTCCCCCGGACACCCAGCTTTAAAGTTTCTCTCTTTTGTTCTCTGTCCCTTTATTTCTCAAGCCAGCCGATGCTTAGGAAAATAGAAAAGAACATACGTGATTATCGGGGCAGGTTCCCCGATAATATGGTACATATATATTACATATATAGTAAAATATATATAATATATTACATATATAGTAAAATATATATAATATATTATATATATAGTAAAATATATATAATATAATATATATAGTAAAATATATATAATATATTATATATAGTAAAATATATATAATATATTATATATATAGTAAAATATATATAACATATTATATATAGTAAAATATATATAATATATTATATATATAGTAAAATATATATAATATATTATATATAGTAAAATATATATAATATATTATATATAGTAAAATATATATAATATATTATATATAGTAAAATATATATAATATATTATATATAGTAAAATATATAATATATTATATATAGTAAAATATATATAATATATTATATATATATTAAAATATATATAATATATTATATATATAGTAAAATATATAATATATTATATATAGTAAAATATATAATATATTATATATAGTAAAATATATATAATATATTATATATAGTAAATATATAATATATTATGTATAGTAAAATATATATAATATATTATATATAGTAAATATATAATATATTATATATAGTAAAATATATATAATATATTATATATAGTAAAATATATAATATAATATATTATATATTTATATATACAGATATACTAGATATATTTTACTATATATAGTATATATGTATATATACAAATATGTATATATATTTTACTATATGTATTTTACATATACTATATATATTTACTATATGTATACCATATGTATATATAGCAAAAGGTCATGTTACATTGGTACTTTCTAAATTCTAAACTTTAAGTTTAGAAAAAAGACCAACATATTTGTTATGGCAAATGGTTAGTTCTCTGCTCAGTCACCAAACAATACACATGAAATAACATTATTCAGTAGTAAGTTCCATTAATAGCATGAAATAAAATAAAAGCACCTGGAAGGAAGAAACAGAGCACCTTCTCATTGAGCACTTACCTCTGTGAAGGGAGTCAGGCTATTGTTGAACTGACAGAAGGCATATCTGTCAGGACTGTGTATAGCAACAAGACCCCTACTGAGAACCCCACAGCCCATGCAATACAGAATGGGGTCTTAGAGAAGCATCCTTAAAAAAAAAAGCCTTCAAATTGATTTAGACAGATTTCTCATGGTGATGGACAACAGATTTTGTGTAACAAACTCCAGAGCTTTATTTCACATTATCATTTAACAATAACATTATGAACAAATTTTTTTTTCATTATTTCAACTTTTCCTTTAGATTCAGGTGGTATATTGTGTGATGTGCCAGTTTGTTATGTGGGTATACTGTGTGATGCTGAGGTTTGGGGTATGATCGATCCTGTCACCCAGGACTGAGTGTAGCACCCAACAGTTTTTCAGCCCTTGTCTCCCTCCCGCTCTGCCTGCTCTAGTAGTCCCCAGTGTCTATTGTTGCCATCATTATGTCAATGAGTACCCGATGTTTAACTCCCATTTGTCAGTGAGAAAATATGGCATTTGGTTTTCTGTTCCTGGGTTAATTTGTTTAGGATAATGGCCCCCAGCTGCATCCATGTTACTGTGAAGGACATGAGTTCATTGTTTTTTATGGGTGAGTAGTATTCCATGGTGTATGTGTACCATATTTTCTCTATCCAGTCCACCACTGATGGGAACCTAGGTCGATTCCATGTCTTTGCTATTGTGAATTGTACTGTGACAAACATGCAAGTGCATGTGTCTTTTTGGTAGAATGATTTGTTTTCTTTTGGCTACAGACCAAGTAAAGGGATTGCTGGGTCAAATGATAGTTCTACTTTAAGTTCCTGAGAAATCTCCACACTGCTTTCCATAGTAGCTGAACTAATTTACATTCCCATCAACAGCATATAAGCATTCTCTCCTCTCAACAGCCTTGTCAGCATCTGTTGTTTTTTAACTATTTTTTTCTTTATTCTGAAAGTATGGGGCTTCAGTTACTGAGCTTTTTAATAATAGCCATTTTGACTGGTGTAAGATGGTATCTCATTGTGGTTTTGATTTTGCATTTCTTTGATGAATAATGATGTGGAGCATTTTTTCACATGTGTGTTTGGCTGCTTGTATGTCTTGTTTTGAGAAGTGATTGTTCAAGTCCTTTGCCCACTTTTTAATGGGATTATTTGTTTTTGCTTGTTCAATTGTTTAAGTTCCTTATAGATTCTGGATGTTAGGCCTTTGTTGGATGCACAGTTTGTGAATATTTTCTCTCATTCTGTAGGTTGTCTATTTACTGTGTTCATAGTTTCATTTACTGTGCAGAAGCTCTTTAGTTTAATTAGGTCCCACTTGCCAATTTTTGTGTTTGTTGCAATTGCTTTTGAGGACTTAGTCATAAATTCTTTCCCAAGGTTGATGTTAAGAATTATGTTTTCTAGATTTTCTCCTAGGGTTTTTAAAGTTTGAGGTCTTACATTTAAATCTTTAATCCATCTTGAGTTAATTTTTCTATATGGTGAAAGTCAGGGTCTAGTTTCAATCATCTGCATAAAGCTAGCCAGCTATCCCAGCACCACTTATTGAATAGGGAGTCCTATCCTCATTGCTTATTTTTGTTAATGATATCAAAGATTAGATTGTTGTATGAGCATGGCTTTATTTCTGGGTTCTCTATTCTGTTCCTTTTGTCTATGCCACTTTATATTTTACAACTTTCTGTTTTTGTACCAGTACCATGCTGTTTTGTTTACTGTAGTCTTATAGCATAGTTTGAAGTCAGGTAATGTGATGCCTTCAGTTTTCTTTTTATTTACGATTGCTTTGGCTATTTGGGCTCTTTTTGGTTCCTTATGAATTTCAGAATAGTTTTTTTCTAGTTCTGTGAAAAATGACATTGGTAGCTTGATAGAAATAGCATTGAATCTGTAGATTGCTTTGGGCAGTGTGGTCATTTTAATGATACTGATTCTTCCAATCCATTGGCATGGGATGTTTTTCCATTCGTTTGTGTCACCTATCATTTCTTTAAGTCGTGTTCTGTAGTTTTCTCTGTAGAGATTTTTCACTTCCTTGGCTAGATGTATTCCTAGGAAGTGTGTATATGTGTGTGTGTGGCTATTGAAATGTAAAATAAAGTTGTAGAATGTACAACCATTTTGTGATTAACATGTCTCTCACCATACTAAGAAGTGTTTGACCTGAGGTCTAAATGCAGGAAACTTGTATTCTCCAGGGTCTTTTCTGAACTTTTGGGATTATAATTACATTAGTAAGTAACTTATTTACTCTTACATTATTCATGTTTCTTTAACTTCAAAAACAGAGGTAATTGGCCAGAGGTTGCCTAAGGCTTCTTCCACCTCTAACACCCTGGGCGTTCTATGATGTTCCAACAGGTGTCGGATCAGTAAACACACCATTAGGCTGGGAATGTAAGTTTCAACCCAGGTGCGGCCTCCTAGCGTGTTTCTTGTTGCAGAACATTTCTCAGGTGTTCAATGCATGCCTGGAATTTTGGGCACAAGTGACTCTGTACACATGATAAAGTCATAGTTGTATCCATCTTCCTGACTCAGCTGTGCTCCATAAATGCCATTTACAATGATTATAAGAAAACTACTCAGACTTAAGTTATGAGAACTGTATAAGAGGATTATTCTGCATCTTGCTTTGAGTATCTCTAGAAAAAAAGAGACAATCTCCCA
This sequence comes from Homo sapiens, assembly GCF_000001405.40. Lineage (NCBI taxonomy): Eukaryota > Metazoa > Chordata > Mammalia > Primates > Hominidae > Homo > Homo sapiens. The sequence continues at coordinate 203,866 of NW_003871091.1, forward strand.
GAAGAAAATATCACAAAGACCATGATTTCTATGGTAGGAGTATTGAGTTTATTAGAAAGCAGACAACATGATATAGGAGTTAGACTGGAGTCCTAGGAAAAGTATTTCTCATCTGTGGTTGGTCTGAAAAGGTGTCTTCAATGCATAGTGTGAGCTAGTATGAAGAGATGAGAAATGGGCTTCTCAAGGAAACGTGTATTGCTCTGCGGTGAAGCCCTGAGGGGCAGCGGGATGGACCTGGCCATCTTCTGAGGGGCCCTTCGTGATAACGGGCTGCTCAGCAGGAGGAGGTCCTGCAGGTGGTGCTGCAAGGGGTCGGCTGGCCGCAGGGGGACTGCACAGACACAGGCTGGCAGCAGGTGGTGGCTCAGCAGGAGGAGGTCCTGCAGGTGGTGCTGCAAGGGGTCGGCTGGCCGCAGGGGGACTGCACAGACACAGGCTGGCAGCAGGTGGTGGCTCAGCAGGAGGAGGTCCTGCAGGTGGTGCTGCAAGGGGTCGGCTGGCCGCAGGGGGGCCGGCAGCAGGGGGACTGCACAGACACAGGCTGGCAGCAGGTGGTGGCCCAGCAGCAGGGCCTGCACACCACAGCCGTGCACGACGAGGGGCAGCAGGTGATGGGGCGGCAGCAGCCTTCCTGCAGGGAGCAGGGGTCGCAGCACACCGGGCGGCGGCAGGGCTCGCAGATGGGGCGCGTGCAGCGGGGCACGCAGGTCACGGGGCGGCACACGGTGGTCTGGCAGGTCACGGGGCGGCAGCAGCAGGGGTCGCGGCAGCAGCAGGGCTGGCAGCAGCCTCCCCCGTAGCTCAGGGAGGAGAAGGTGGAGCCGCAGCAGGAGCCGGTCATGGTGGTGTCTGAGGCTGGTGTGGGTTGGGCTGTGGAGAGGAGCTGGATGTTCTCAGGTGTGAATGTCCTCCTCCCCCTCTGGGCCCTTTATATACGCTGGCTGGGAGCTGATGACCCCCAGGACACAAGGTCATTTCCTTGTTTTCACTTATTCTTCCTGAAATAACACCAGCAGATTAGTAAGTTTTGTAGACATTGTTTAGATGCTCAGGTACACATAAAAGTCTATTTTCCTTATTTAGTGTAGACCCATTATATTTTGCTATTTATGGTTCAAATATGAATTTAATGACCCTAACTTCAAAGTCTCCAATTATCGTTATAATTCAATGACGCTTTTGCTAGTTGCTGTTTTGATAGCTCAAAGCAGCTGTTGTGCTCTGCATGCTCTGAGGGTTATTACTTGCTAGCAGTTGAAGTAAAGCGAGCATCTCAAGTTGTTAGTATTCTTTGCCACTGCTAAGCTTCCTGGGCAAAACAAGTTGAGGATAATACTACAGGGATAGTTTAAAAGTCAGGATTTCTCAGTAAAAGAAGAATTTTCCTGTCCCCTTTTTGGAGGTACAAGAATGCATTTTAGTAGGTTTCCATCATCCAGTGGTTTTTGTCTTAGAGATATGTTCATTGATTTCTATGGTTGTATCTTTCCAGACCAAGGTAAATTTCACTGTAATCTTCATGATAGCCAGTATCATTAAGTTGTAACTATGTTCCAAGCATCATATTAAAAAATACATGCATTAATCTAATCTTCATAACATTCTTAGGATGTGGATATTGTTTATTTCTCATTTCACACATAAGGAACCAGATAAGTGACTTACCCAAGGTCATGTACCTAGTAAGTGTTGGAGCCAATACTCATTCCAGAAATATCTGTGGGAACATTATTTATCAGCCCAAAAAGCTGAAGAACTCACTGTAGCTAAAGAATGGATTGTAGGTACCACATTCCCAGGTATTAAGGAATGTCTATTTTATTTAGGAGCTTTTACAGTGTATTTACTTTGAAAACAGTTGTTATTTATGATATGTCTAATTTTTAGAGTCGGTTGAAAGGACTCTATGTCTTACCAACAGCCTCAGGAGTGGGAAGAATTACCTTCTATTCAGCCTTCTGAAAATGTCGAAACATACCCTAAGGAGATAGTGTCATAGTTGGGCATAACTGAATGATTATGGGGTATTGTGAACAAAGCCACCAATATGGTGAGGAAGTCAAACAAGTCTATGTAGAGGAAGGTTGCAGTCTTGCGGTATAACAAAACCCTTCAGTAGTGATCCCACTTGAACGTGTTCTCGGGCCTCATCTGGCCCATACCTCAGTGTCTTCAACATCTCCCTGTGTGCTATGCTGGGGCTCATTTCTGCTTATGGAACCAATTGTCATTTTTAATTGTTTCAAACTGTCATGACTTGTAGGCAAATTATGTCACTCAATCACTTTTGAGTCTTTGCCTCTTAATTTACTTGGTTCTGACCTTTTCCTTTACAACTAAGACTGTTCTATTAGGTTGGTGCAAAAAGTAATTGTGGTTTTTGGCACTTTCAATGGCAGAAGCTACAATTATTTTTGCACCAGCCTAATAGATCTGAAGTTGAAGGTTCAAGTGTAAGCATTCTTATTGATCACACCACTTGCATGGTTTCTTATAGGCTTACCCAGATCTGCACCAGCCACTTCAGCCAACCAGAGAATGGGGTGACTGTGGGAATAAATGAGATCCAATAATAATGATAGGTTTGAGGGGAAACAAGGCATTGTCCATTTGAGAAAACACTTTTAAATAAGGAGGTCTCTAGAAGGCTAACAAGAAAAACTCTGAGAGGAGAAAAACAGATGTACTTAACGAATTTTGAAAACAGTGATCAAGAATATATAGAAAGAAATTAGACTTGTGAGCCTATCCATTGGTTAATTACCAAACCGTTAAAAAAGATAAAACTCCATTGTGCACGTACTGCAAATGTAAAGTTTTTGAATATAACAGTCTTCTTGTTGAGAAACTTTTACCATATTTCCAGAAAAAAGATCTTTCTTCATGATTGGTTTATTGTTTTATTTTAAGAATATGCATATCCAGCATGAGTTGAGAGTTGGGATGGAATGATAATGTCTTTCTCTGTTTTAACCAATCCCCTTAGAACTTACTCATTTATCATTCAACACATCATTTCTGATTATACTCAATGTGCCAAATATCGTGCAGATCAGTGGGAATCTAGTAGTGAACAAAGTTAGTCGAGATCCTGGCCCTCAATGTAAATTAGCTCAGCCATTGTGGAAAGCAGTTTGGCAATTTCTGAAAGTATTTAAAACAGAATTACCATTCAACCCAGCAATCCCATTAGTGGGTATGGACCCAGAGGGATTGAAATCATTCTACCATAAAGACATATACATGCATATGTTTATTGCAGCACTGTTCAAAGTAGCAAAGATATGGAATCAACCTAAATACCCATCAAGGGTGGACTGGATAAAGAAAATGTGGTACACATACACCATGGAATACTATACAGCCATAAAAAAGGAAATTATGTCCTTTGTAGCAATGTGGATGAAGCTGGAGGCCATTATCCTAAGCAAACTAACACAGATACAGAAAACCAAATACGGCATGTTCTCACTTATAAGTGGTAGCTAAACATTGAGTACATATGGACACAAATAAGGGAACAACAGATACTGAAGCTTACTTGAGGGCAGATGGTGGGAAGAGGGTGAGGATAAAAAAACCATCTATCTGTTACTATGCTTTTGTTTAATTAAATTAATTAATTAATTAAGTTTTGAGACAGAGTCTCACTCTGTCACCCAGGCAGGAGTGCAGTGGCGCAACCTTGTCTCACCAAAGCCTCTGCCTCCCAGGTTCAAGCGATTCTCCTGATTCAGCCTCCTGAGTAGCTTGGATTACAGGCGCATGCCACCATGCCCAGCTACTTTTTGTATTTTTAGTAGAGACAGGGTTTCACCATGTTGGCCAGGATGGTCTTGAATTCCTGGCCTCAAGTGACCTACCCATCTCAGCCTCCCAAAGTGCTGGGATTTCAGGCTTGAGCCACTGCACCTGGCCATCTGTTACTATGCTTATTACCTGGGTGATGAAATAATCTGTATACCAAAACCCTGTGACACACAATTTACCTATATAACAAACGTGCACATGTACCCCTGAACTTGAAATAAATTTAAATTAAAAAGACTAAAGACCCCTGCCCTCACAAAGCTTCCCTTGCCTCACTTCTCTCAATGGGCAGGTAGATATGCCCAGGAATACATGCTGAACAATCAAAGAAATCTCTTTTCTATCACATGCTAGGAACTAAAAAGATATTTATCAGGAAAATGATAGTGGTTAGCCTTCCTTACCAACATACAAGTATTTAACAAAATCAAAAATATATGCAGTATGGATTAATGTTATCAGCATTTCAACCGCATTGCAGTTGTTTAAATGGTTAAGATGTATGCGGAGCTCAAAACTAGGATGATTACAACCAAGGCTTCATTTCTCCCTGTCTTCTCAGCAGCAGCCACTCCACTGGAAGTAGAACTGGCCATGGTGGTGCTGACGGGAACCATGGAGAAGATGGGATAGTGGTTCCTCCAGCATAGGATGTTCAGTGGCTAGGGATTCCCAGGTCTTGTTTGACATCAATTACCGTACAGTTTCCTACATTGGTGAACAAATAGGGCTATAACTTAGCTTAGACTTCCTCCCCCTTATCATGTGTGTGAATTATTCATAAGTCAAGTTTATGTTTACAGAGACCTACTGTAGTCTCACCATTTCGTCAGCATCACCATAAAACCTGCGACTCGAAATATGAAGGTGAATCATGAGATGATCAGATTTATTTGAAATGCTATTAAAATTATAGACCTTCCACCTGAGTTGTTCCTATTCTAAAGCTCAAAAATGGCCCTTAGAAAATCTCTCCTTTCGTTCTTCTGGTTCTGCATGCTGTAATGTAAGCTAAATATGAGCTTTTGAAGAGCAATAAACAATAAATAAAAAGAAATGTTTGCTTCCCCAGAAATATAATTTTATTTTTTTTTACAGTGCAAAAATACAGCATACAAATAGTATTATCCTGGAAGAAAAAAATCTCATCTGAGAACCTTGAAACAGTAGAAAAAAGGGTGATGAGTCAGTGGGACAGAGTTCTATTCAAGAGGAGCTTTGATTTTTATTTACTCGTTTTTTTTTTCAAGCCAGGAATTCGAATGATGAAAGCTGGAATTTTTCTCAAGATTGTCAGAGAGGGCCAGGATTAGCTGCATAATTATGTGGGGAAATAGATAGGATGTTATTGTTGAATTCGTGCTTGAGGATCAGCTAGGCTGCAAAGGTGGAGTCTCTCATCTGATCCAGAAGGGGTAGAAGAGTCTGCACAAGCTTCTGTGCACCTGGGAATGTTTCGTGCGTTGAGAGGAGAGGTGGGGTCTCAGCAGGAGGAGGTCCTGCAGGTGGTGCTGCAAGGGGTCGGCTGGCCGCAGGGAGGCCGGCAGCAGGGGGACTGCACAGACACAGGCTGGCAGCAGGTGGTGGCCCAGCAGCAGGGCCTGCACACCACAGCCGTGCACGACGAGGGGCAGCAGGTGATGGGGCGGCAGCAGCCTTCCTGCAGGGAGCAGGGGTCGCAGCACACCGGGCGGCGGCAGGGCTCGCAGATGGGGCGCGTGCAGCGGGGCACGCAGGTCACGGGGCGGCACACGGTGGTCTGGCAGGTCACGGGGCGGCAGCAGCAGGGGTCGCGGCAGCAGCAGGGCTGGCAGCAGCCTCCCCCGTAGCTCAGGGAGGACAAGGTGGAGCCGCAGCAGGAGCCGGTCATGGTGGTGTCTGAGGCTGGTGTGGGTTGGGCTGTTGAGAGGAGCTGGATGTTCTCAGGTGTGAATGTCCTCGTTCCACTCTGGGCCCTTTATATATCCTAGCTGGATGCTGATGACCCCCAGGACATGAGGTCATTTCCTGGAGTTGTAGCTGCCCGTTGAAATGAGAACTCTGGATTTAACTGCTGAGGCAGCGATCCCTAAATCACTAAAGAATGCTTTGTTTTCTACCTGTCTACTTTTTCCCTAGAACGGAATACCTGGTCATGTATATCATCAGAACAATTGCTCATCTATCAGCTAGTCCTTCCAGGCCATGCCATGTGAGAAGGTGCAAGTTTGAAGAATCCAGCCACCATCACACTTTCCTCTTGTTCGCTGCCATCCGTGACTTAAGCATGGGACTGGAATGTTCATGAGTCACAGGCTGGGTTTCTGATTGGCATTGAGATCAAGCAAGAATTTCTTAAAAACCAAAATGGCTCATAAGAGCAGATGTGTATTGATTCTGCTATGGAAAGAATGGCCCAGTGTTTAATGACACAGTGCCTAACCTTGTTTATAAGAAAATCATCACCAAAGCTGCTAGACTGATTTTATTTTAGTAATCTGAGTTGGTTTATAACTCATTAACACTTATGAGACACTTATTATGTAGATGGTACTGTACTATTTGGGGGTGGAGGGGGAAAGGAAAGAAAAATAGCTTTCAAATAGTTTCCTATCACATAGTAATCATAACTTTTAGTAAGGCAAGACAAAGATAAATCAAGCAATTAAAGGGAAAGAACTTTTCTGGGAACAATAAGGTCAAACTAAATGGGGATTTCATTCATTCTGTGCCTTTCTGAATGCCCTTCCCTGATTATTGACCTAGAAATAAAATTGAAATTGGGCTATTTCTTGCTTTCTTGCTTTGACATATGCACTTTGTATTACATACTTAAAAATCTATGGACAATATCTACAAAGGAATCAATTATCTTTCTGTCACAGCTTCTTTAGTTTGTTGGCTGAGGGTTTTGTTTGTTTATGAGGTGGGAAGGTGGCATTATGAAAAAGACAAGGGGAATTAGTTTAGCTGGTGACCAATAAAATAGCTTTGTCTTTTCCAGCCATAGCAAAGATGAATAGGAATACAGAAAATAAATTTAGAGTTGGAAGGTAGATTAAAGATAACATTGTCCAAGGAATGCTGATGGTCTTCAGTGCAAATTTACCTCTGAGGTGTGTTTTGTTTTGTTTTCTCTTTTTAAAAATACACCCTTTGGTCTATCATATCCCTGATCTTTGAAGTCCTTTGAGTCTATGATCCATCATAGTCCATCACAGTTTTTGGAAGACCAGATTTACAAAATGAATTCCTCCAAAGTCGTACGGATCAAAGAGTGGCAAATATTTAGCAATACCACAGGTCTTCTGTGGAGTAGAAACACTGGTGATGTCTCCCAGTCTTTTTCCAACTCGGAGTCACTCAAAATAGATAACATGTAGCAGTAGTTATTAAAAAGTTTTATTCCCTTTAGTGAAATAAAATAAGTACTCACTTGATACATGGTTTAGCATTCTGTTCTTTGTTTTGGAATGTATACAGAGATGCCAAACTAAAAAGAGAAATATGTCTGTAAATCCACTGCTTTTGTTAACAAAAGAACACAGTACTAAGAAATACTGTTTTCTAAAATTATAGGCTGTTAGAAACCTTGCTCTTCCAAGCCACATCAGTAAGAAGGAAACATTTCACTCTTGCCTAGACAGGATCTAAGTCATCTGGACAGAGAAGCAACCTCAGTACCCAACCCAGGTACAGAATTTCAGACAAGTGACTTGCAGACACAACATTCCCCATTTGTCTCAACTATACAGTTTCCAGTGAAAGAGGACCATAAGTCTGTTTCACAGCTCAGGTCTGGTGTTAATTATTTTTTATACACAGCCCTGTTTTTCTTGAGCCTATGAAAACACTATGTCACGTAATTTTACCCCACCATTCCTCAACATTTTATAATAACATTTCTCCTCCTTTGTTTGGGAGGATGCCCCATGGTCCTCAGCCATGTGGTCTCCCTTGCTGTAGCACATTAATAGTCCTAAGCTATTGGACAAGAGATGTATCCCTGGTCTTTACCACATGGACTTTTTTAGTCATGTTATTCAAGTTCCACACATTCTTCAAGTGCATAATCACCAGGATGGAAACAAGTAAATCTGAAGCACAGTGAAAATAACTTGTGAGATTTTTGTAGTTGGATAGATAAAGAATGTAGTGTTGGTGACCTCTTGTGATGGTGGGCCATGCCCTCTTCTTAATAGTTTTATGAATTATATTTTGTTAGGAACTAGTCTGGAAGCCACTAGATGTTAGGAAAATTATTAAAATTCTAAAATTAGAAAATACATTCCTTAAGGACTTCGTTCTCAGAAATAATCTTAAAAATATCCTCCAATCATAAGAGTCAGGGATGGGATGGGGAATATTGACGGGCACAGGGCAGGAGGAAAATGGAGAAGATAAAGAAGGATTCCAGTCCTTTCTCCACCTCTTTGCAGTTGTCTAACTTAGAGTAAATGACTTACCCTTAGCCAGGTTTCCTCATCTGTAAAATGGGCAGAGTCTTCGGTGCCTGGTGTTCTTCAGAGGCTGGCTTATCATAAAATCCATACAAACATGGAAGACAGAGAAAGGGATATAATTAATTAGATATAATTAGAAAAGAAAAGAGTTTAGTTGTGAGAGACAGAAAAACTAAATGATCAGGGGACTGGTGGAATTTGTTGCTAGAATTTTTTTAAAAATTTCATCTGAGTTTTTTAGATATTCATTTGCCTAAAGTCAGGGAAGGCAAAGTAATCTTTTGAGGTCTATTACAGCTTTGAGTTGTTTAATTCCCTTGGAAGGTTCAATGTGAAAGAAAGAGTCGAACCATCAGATACTTACATGTTGCTCAATCCTTCTTTTACCTGATGCTGCACTCCTATTCATAAATCCTATAATCTAGGACTCATTCCTGTGGACTTGTAGAATGAATTTTTAAAGATTATTTTCATTCTGAGACAGCCTTAATCTGATGCCAAGTTGTTGTGGGTTTTTTTTTTTGCCTTCTTCATTATATTTATTAGAAAATCTATTCCTACTGGTAGATGTAGACTATCCTGAAAAAAAATTACAATTTAAGTTTGGTTAGTAAAGCCCTCCCCTGAATTTGTTCCCATTCCCAGTGAGTTGATATGTAGTAGATAGCACATCTTTTGAGCCTGTTCGATACAGTGATGTCCAAATGCTCCACAAGGAATATAAATGAATGTTACTGGGCATTTAACTATGTGCCAGGCATCTTGCATACATAAAAAGTTATAATTGTTATTTAACTTCCCTAGCAATCTACATTGGTAAATGTTGCTTTTCCCATTTTGCGGATGAGAAAACTCGAGAGTCAGAGAGGTTAAGTTACACTAATGCCAAAATTTTTTCTTTAAATAATTATCTACCTTTTAAAATTCTTGTGGTAAAGACAATTTCCTTTTATTTTGACAACTAAACAAACAGAAATTAAGTACCGGCTACGTATTAAACTTTGAGCTCAGTATTGGAAGCCAAAAACAAACTGTGGTCCCCTCCTTGGAGGCAAAAAAACATATAATCTCAATACAATGCCTTATGGGGAGGGAGGTAAGCTATTGGAACTTGCTGAGAGCTCCTAACCTGTATGTGTGTGTGTGTGTGTGTGTGTGTGTGTATGCATTTGCACATGTGTTTGTGTGATACAGGGGTTGGGACAGGACTACTGGAGAAGACTGAATTGAATCTTGGAAATGAATCAGAGTTAAGTAGGTGATGAAGGTGAAGAGAAAGAGTGTGTAAAAGAACAGATAAGTGAAAGAACATGAGGAAAAGCGAAACATTTGGAACTGCAAATGTTTAATAACTATAAGGTCAGTGTTGCTTGAAGTGAATCTTAGTGGGGAGCAGTGAGACATGGATCTATAGAGATGGGCAAAGGACAGGCAGCAGACCACCTGATGTGCACACACTTCCTAGCCACATGGGTAATCTGAGGACTGGCCTAGCTCTCCTGTAACATCTTCAAATACCAAATACTTGTACCAGGAATCCTAGTGCCTGTCTCTGTTCCTCTTCTGTCTTTCTCATCATCTCCATCATCTTCCTCTTCACTCTTCCTCCTATTCATTGCCTTGCCTCCCCTCTTCACTTTTTATTCATCCCTTATCTCTTACTTTTTGTCTCTCTTTTTTTGTTGTCATTTTATTCCACCTATGACAAACTCAAGATACTGTTTTTTTGCACATTCATTTACATTCACTTCTCTGCCAAACCGATTCTTCTGATTACAGTTTAGCAGGTGCTGTTTCATACTTATTATTATATTACATTTTTTTCTTCACTTTGGGTGTCTTCATTGTGGCTTGTCCTTGTGACTATTCTTGGAAGGCTTCCAGGCCATGCTTGTTAAGCCCTCAAGGAGCTCAAATCCTGGTCTTCCTCTGAAATAATGGTCCTGAAATTCTAATGAATTACATGGAAGTGATAGAAAATAAACAGCCTTGGGCCCCACTCCCAGAGATTTTGATTCATTAGGTTTGGTTTGGGGCCTAAGAATGTGCATTTTAATAGGCAATTGCAAGAGATTCTATTGTGTATGACGCATGGGCCACACTTTGAAAAATGCTACTCTAGGAACTGTGGTAAGAAGATGAGATGCGCTGTGCTGGTCAGTTTACTACCAGTGGTCATTCTGGGCTTGGCATATGCTATTCCCACTTCTACCCCTCTTCATGAACATTGTCTTTCCTTTTGTCTATTCCATTAGACCATAAGCTTCTTGGATACAAGGCATGTAGCTTGTTCATCACTAATCAGGCAGCACCTGTCAACTGGAGGTCCCTTGATAAACAATTCCTGAATGACTGAATAGATGAGATTTCTATGGATAAGGTTTTGCTTAGGTTGAGCTTTGTTTCCCTTGTGCAGGTTCCAAAATCTTGCTTATCTGTGTACGCTAATAAACATGCACTAACGAACAAATCAGGGAGCAGGGCAGTCTGCTATGCCAGGAAAAATTAGTTTATTGACAACAGTGAGCAACACATTGCAAAAGATGATGGTGACAGTTTGAGCAGTAAAAACCATCAGGTTGTAGAATGTGTTTGCAAAGTCCACCCCAGGAATTCTTAAAGGTCGATTTACTATCCATAATGACTAAGGCTGATGTAGACACCTGAAAATGTGGGTGAGGGTGGTAATGGACGTCTGCTTACACCAGGCTGTATCCAGATGGTAAAAATCACTATTGTCACCTTGTGAAAAAAAATCTATTTTTCTTTTAACTTTTTAAAAACACCAGATAGATGTTTAGGCTTCAGTGTATTGCTCTGTGGGGGCATTGGGGTCTCAGCAGGAGGAGGTCCTGCAGGTGGTGCTGCAAGGGGTCGGCTGGCCGCAGGGGGGCCGGCAGCAGGGGGACTGCACAGACACAGGCTGGCAGCAGGTGGTGGCCCAGCAGCAGGGCCTGCACACCACAGCCGTGCACGACGAGGGGCAGCAGGTGATGGGGCGGCAGCAGCCTTCCTGCAGGGAGCAGGGGTCGCAGCACACCGGGCGGCGGCAGGGCTCGCAGATGGGGCGCGTGCAGCGGGGCACGCAGGTCACGGGGCGGCACACGGTGGTCTGGCAGGTCACGGGGCGGCAGCAGCAGGGGTCGCGGCAGCAGCAGGGCTGGCAGCAGCCTCCCCCGTAGCTCAGGGAGGACAAGGTGGAGCCGCAGCAGGAGCCGGTCATGGTGGTGTCTGAGGCTGGTGTGGGTTGGGCTATTGAGAGGAGCTGGATGTTCTCAGGTGTGAATGTCCTCCTCCCCCTCTGGGCCCTTTATATACCCTGGCTGGGAGCTGATGACCCTTCAACATATGATCATTTTCTTGTGCATCTTCTGGCCAATTAAGTGAAGATTTAGCATTGACTAATGGTATTTTGGTCACTCTTCACCTCATACATATTCATGTACATACACCACAAATATTCGCTCATTTTCTTGTATTGTTTATCCTCACTAAATTTAGACATTGGATTCACTTCTGATTAATTTTCCTTTGAAATATTCCTAACCCATAAGAGAGAAAAGAATGTGTTTTCTAAATTAGTGTCTAATCGCTCTGCCCTTTGGCGCTAAAATTAGCATGTTATTCCTTGTCTTCAAAGGCTCCCATCACCGGCACCCAAGCAGTGACTTGCCTTATTAATGCACATGGGCATGATGGTAGCAGGTTAATTGCATCATCCTAGTGCAGACCAGTAGTCATCTGCTTCACAGATAGCTCCTTCCATGACTCACTTAAAGATAGGCTTGTGGTTTTTCATATGAGCAGGGACCACACGAAATGCAGATCCCTGGCCACTGGTGTGGTCACTCTCCCCTGACTAGGACCTGGGCTTTCCTGCCTTGGTTTTGATGTGTCATCATTCACCTGGAATGCCCTCCTCATCCTTCCAATCCAAACTCAACTTCTACCTTGATTGTAAAACCCTCTTCAAGGATCCATTGCAATTATTATATTTGTAATTTGTTTGGAATTAGTCGTTGCATCTGTAGAGTCCGGGAAGGGATTGCGGAGAATATGTAGGCCTATGCCCTCACTCTACGGCTGAGGTCCTGAGAGTGTACCAAGGTCACACAATGAGGTCACCATATGAGGTCTGAGATCCAGGTCTCCTCAGTCTGCAGTAAGTAGCCCCTACTATGAGTTTTATGCTCATTGGATTCAGTAAACCATGGTCTTTAGACAGGAAAGAAAACATATATTAAAGTAGAAGCCCAGACTTCATGCCACTATGCAATATATCCATGTAACAATGCTGCATTTGAACCTCTTACATTTATACATATTAAACACAGATTTAAAAAAATAAGTAATGAACTTTCCTTTCAGCAGCAAGGTTAGAAGTGGTACTGGAAGAGAATTAGGGAAATGTTTTGCCCAGATGACACATTGTCATCCTGGACCCCCATTGACTCCACTAAGTATGACAATGTGTCTGAGAGGCTAGAGAAGGGACCTGGAGAAAGCTAACATGATGCAGGGTTTATTAGTGGAACTTACATACAAGGGTGGTCCAGTGGTGGTATCTGGACAGGAGAACTGCTATTATTTGTAAAAAGCATGCAGTTCACACAGTATTTTCATTAGAACCCTCCACCTAACAACCTCCATTTAATCCAAAACAAAGGGCCTCAATCCCCAGTATGACCTGTGTTCTAATGGATGAGGTGGGGATTCAAATGTCCTTCATAGATAAGGAGTGGATCTCCAAGTTGGCCACTCCCAGATCCTTAGCTCAGAACTCCAAGCATACATTCTTCTTTGATTGTAGGATCATTCTCAGGGTATGCTTAAGTTAAGTTATTGCTGCCAGATGTGTCTGCCATACCCTCCACCTCAGCATACCCTTGAATAGCCCTTACATTCTAATCACACCATTCTTCTGAGATTTCCCTGGGGCTAGGATATGCAGAGGAGCATTGCAACCAGATGTTTCAGCAGCAACATAAACTACTACAACAAAAAAGAATAATGAATGTAACAACAATTGTACTGTATAGAAAGTTTTTCCAAGCACTCAGGAGTTGATTAAACCATGTGGTTACAGGGTCATAAGATAGAGATTCTATAGCAGAAATCTGGGTATCTAGGGCCCACATGGCCTGTGTTACATTGTGAGAGTAATCAGGGATATATACACAAAATTCAGTTTTAATTAATGCACAGGTTCTGCCCTGATAAGCGGTTAAGATGTCCTGGGCCATGCAATTTTGCAAAGTAACACACCTAATTTGGGCAGTTTCTTCAGTGAGAAGAGTAATATCATGGCAGATATCATTAAAGACTGCAGCCCTATGTTAAGCCAGGGCCTCAACTTGCAGCTGTATGTCTATTGTCACCACTTGGGTGGTGAGTGGTGGGGGGAGTGGGGGGGGGGACATGGCAAAAGTGGCCAACGGGTAAAACCACAGGGATGCATGCTTCCAGCAGTGCCTGGCTTTTACAATTTCCCAGTTAGTAAGAATGGTGTCTAAACTGGGCACGATGTATCCCAGCAAATGAGGATGTCCCCAGGTGCATCTACCAGTCCAGTTATAGGGTAAGTAAGGCCAACTGTGGATGCCGCATGCCCACAGCCATCCTAAGGGGTGTGGTAGGCCCCCAGGTGGAGAGTCACTCTGTCGTCGCAGTCAAGTATCACTGGTTACCTGAAGAGATTGGTTTCATTGCTGTCATATTCCATGTCTATTACCTGAAGAAATAGATTACATTACACTGTGGGGGTAGCCATCCCATACTACTGGTTTTAGCTTGTGGCATGCTATTATCATGCCTTTTAATACATGTGGGTGCACAGCCCACAAGCTGTATCTATACTGCTGTTGTCCACCCTGGCCCATCATCTACAGAATACCCCACAGTGGGGGTGACATTAACCTGCTCCTATACTAGGTGGAAAATATGTTGTCTCATCTCTGATGGTGGGAAACTTATCACATGAAGTGTGGTTATTGCTAAAGGGAAATGGGTGAGGGTCATTATACCAAGTATAGAAATGGCTCCAGATACTGAGGTTAGCTGCTTGGATGCACCATGGCAGGCTGATGCTGGAGGAGAAGGGCAGCTCCCTGCAGATGCAACAGTCTGTTTTGTTTTGGGGAAAGGTCGCCATTTGCACCCAGTTGGTGAAGAGGTACACCACCTATGGGTGACAGGTGAGATACCTAGTGGGTAGAAGAATGGGCAAGTTGGCCGGGCACAGTGGCTCACGTCTGTAATCCCAACACTTTTGGAGGCCAAGGCGTGTGGAACACCTGAGGTCTGGAGTTCGAGACCAGCTGACCAACATGGTGAAACCCTGTCTCTACTAAAAATACAAAAAAATCAGGCAGGCGTGGTGGTGCATGCCTGTAATCCCAGCTACTTGGGAGGCTGAGGCAGGAGAATCTCTTGAACCCAGGAGGCAGAGATTGCAGTGAGCTGAGATCATGCCACTGCACTCTAGCCTGGGCAACAAGAGCAAAACTCCATCTCCAAAAAAAAAAAAAAAAAAGAAGAAAGGGCAAGTCAGGCCATCTAACAAGACAGGAAGTTGTGTCGTTCTGAGAGATCACCACCCCCAGCAGCAACCTGTGCCTGGTTTGCAATACCACATGGATTGCCCACTTCTGCAACACGTTGCAGCCACAGTAAGACAGTGTGGATATTGTAATGTCCCATAATGACAGGATGATCACTCCCTTGCACAAGTGGGGACTAGGATTGATTATTTTAGAAGTACAAGGAGGAATAGGATGTAAAATAGGTGTGATCTGTATATCATTTTCTACGCCCTTGCCCCATGGAGTGAAAAAACTGTACCAACTGGGGCTGGTTTGTGATTTCCGGGCCCATGTAATGATGTGCTCTCCAGTGGGTAGGTCCTATGGCAAGGGCATAGCCCCAGGTTGAGTCCCAGGTTGAGGCAAAGGAGGGGGGTACCATCCCTTACACTGTCAACCTGGATCGTGATGGTGGTATCAGGTCCTTGAGCCAGAAGAGTGTGTGCACTGGGGAGATGAGAGCACACCTGTTAATTCAGGGATATCTTGGGCCTGCACGGCCTGAGTTACATTGTGAGAGTAATCAGGGATATATATACACAACATTCAGTTTTAATTAATGCAGAAGATCCACACTAAGCGTCCAGGGCATGTGATTTTGCAAAGTGATACATCTAATTTGGATAGTTTCATTCAGGGCGCAGATGGGTGCTGGTAAGCAGTGTGTCCACAGAGCCAGAGAGGGCGTCTCCTGCCAGAGTTGTTTCTTCAATGGTTGTTTCATCCATTCAATCAGCCCCGCTGCTATAGGGTTGTATGGCAGGTAGAAATGCCAATGGATATCCAGGGCCTCCACCGATTCCTGCACTTTGTATATGGTAAAGTGAGAGCCCTGGGCACTGTTGATATCAGTGGGGACGCCACAGGCTACATATAACTCCAGTCTTTTTATGGTGGTTTTCTGGGTAACATACTTGCTGGGATACACCTACAGTAGCCCCATGCAGGTGTCTGCACAAGTCAAGGCGTAGCGGAAGCCATCAGATAGGGGCAAAGGCCCTTGGGATTCTGGGACCTTGGCCTTCATCCTAGTATAAAGGGGCTGGCACCTGCCATTCCTCTGTGGGAGGGCAGCGGGCTGAGCCTGAGGCTCCTTTGTGAAGCACTCTTCCAGCTTGAGCTTCTGCCATAGCCTGACCAGAACAGCATTGAACTGTAGGCTCTTAGATAACAGTCTAGATTCAAATCCAAGCATGTCTAAATCGAAAGCTGTGTTTTCACAAATAGGCTTATGAAAATGAGATTCTCCTTTGAATTAATTTGAATAGGCTCACTTTGCACTATCCATTAATCCTCATTATATTGATAAAGCTAAAAATTTAACTAACTATCCCCTCCAGAAAATTTATCAAAATTTACCATAAAACCAACCCTGTCACAAATACTTGGCCACTGTTCTATTTTTATTTTCTTTGTAGAAAGCCATCTGTTCATCCTTGTGTATTGATTGGTGTATTAAGCTGGCTTCACATTGCTACCATGGTTGAATTAGACAGCTATTGCTGCATAGCAAGCAACCACAAACTCTCATAGCTTATTGTAACAAGTATTTATTTATTGGTCATATATTTGTAGGTTAGTTGGGGTTTGGTTGATTAAGGTTGGCCTTAGCTTCTGCCCACAGGTTGGTTTGGGACTTTCTTTTGAATGAGAGTTGTCATATTTAGCAAATAAAAATACAGGTTCCCCAGTTACATGTCAATTTCAGAAAAACAACAAATAATTTTATTACAATTATATCTGATTATGCATGGGTATACTTACATTTAAAAATTATTTGTTGTTTGTCTGGAATTCCATTTTAATGGAGTGTCCGGTATTTTAGGGGCCATCCTCCTCTGAGAACAAAGGCCCAAGGGAACAATCTCACATTTTGAGTCTTCGGGTCATGCCTTCTCATTGGTCAAAGCAACTCACATGGCAAAGTCCAAGTCAGAGGGTGGGAGA
This sequence comes from Homo sapiens, assembly GCF_000001405.40. NCBI lineage: Eukaryota > Metazoa > Chordata > Mammalia > Primates > Hominidae > Homo > Homo sapiens. The sequence continues at coordinate 220,649 of NW_003871091.1, forward strand.
GGATACTTCTGGAGTTGGGTGGGAGGAGGGGGGAGAGTAAACATTAATAAGGAATAATCTAATCTACCAAAGTAGAGAATCAATTATTTTAATAATCTTTGTGTGAGGCTTGGAAAAGACTTCTAGAAGATCAAATTAGATTATGTCTATTTCATTAGAAATTCTATTTTGGGATGGGAGTGGTGGCTCATGCCTGTAATCCCAGCACTTTGGGAGGCCGAGGTGGGCTGATCATTTGAGGTCAGGAGTTCAACACCAGCCTGGCCAACATGGTTAAATCCTGGCTCTACTAAAGATACAAAAATTAGCTGGCCATGGTGGCAGGTGCCTGTAATCCCAGCTACTCAGGATAATAATCAAGTGACACAGCATATCCAAGAGCATTGCCTAGAAATCTATATTTATTAAAAACAAAACTGCCTGAGATGTTCTAGGAAGATGCCAAGAAGAGTCCAAGGCCATGACCTTCTCATCAACTCCTTGCTGGGTGCAATTCCATCCATAAGACTGTGGCCTAAATTCAAATATAACTGCGACTTTGTATTCTCAAGAAGATGAATCAGGAGTAGGGCTCTGTGAAGTACGGCATAAAGAGCCAAGCTTTTTTACAAGGCGGGAAAGACCAAAGACTTAGTGACTTGAAAGGATATCAGTATTTCCGGTGAATCTTGTGTGGGTCAAAGACCATTTATCTTGTTGCTTGGTGAGTGTGGCTACTTCCTTGAACCACATGGAGACACATTGTACAGGAAGAAGTGCCTCCTTCTGCTCGTCATCTGCGATTCTCATCTGACACCATGGTCAGCTTCTGTTGTAGCTCTGTCTGCTCTGAATAGAGCTGTGGCCAAGGCCTCTGCCAGACCTGCTGCTGCTGCAGTTGCTGCCAGACCACCTACTGCAGAACCATCTGCTACCATCCCAGCTGCTCTGTGTCCAGCTGTTGCAGGCCCCCGTGCTGCCAGTCCCTGTGCTGCCCCAGCTGCTGCATTTCTAGCTGCTGCCACTCAAGCTGCAGTGTGTCCACCTGCTCCAGGCCCAGCTGTTATAATCCCCAGTACTACCAGCCCTCCTGCTGCCACCCTTCTGCTGCACTTCTAGCTGCTGCCACCCTGGCTGCTGTGTGTCCAGCTGCTGCTGTCCAGTCTGCTACCAGACCACCTGCTGTGGTCCAGTCTCCTATGAATCCTCTTGCTGTTGAACTTCATTCCTGACCACCAGCCCTGGTTCAACCACCTTGTTGTCAGTGTACCAGTCATTCTCATTCCCCTTCTCCACTGGACCTGGCCTTGCCCTGATCCACCACTACATTTATATAGCTCATTGTTCATTCCACCAAGCAACTATTTTAAAAGCAAAAATTTAAATGCATATCGTACAAAACCTCCAACTTCTATGCTTGGTGTGCAGTCAGATGACCAGATATCTCACACTATTTCATTGGAACAGGCTTCTAAGCTTACAATTGCCGAGTGTGGTCTGGACTTTGCAATGAATTACGTCTGGTAGAGTAACTATATCTCAATAAACACTCTCTTGGTATCAAAAACATTTGTGACCTTTCAGTATTTCTTACTGTTGATTATTTATTTGTAAAATGGTTTGAGTTCCTATTGTATGGGCAATAACAAAAAAATTGATATTATATGTATCAGCCAAAGCCTGTATTAGAGAAAATGCCAAATAATTCATTTTTTAATCCAAAACAGATTGCTCACTTTACCTGCCATCAAGTTTATTGAGACAAAACAAGAACTCAATTTTTACTGTAATTAAATTAAGAACAAATTAGCAAGCTATTGGGCTCTGGGAATTGCATAAAATGAATGAGACCCACTTCTTTTCCCTTAGGTAACTCACAACATAATCATGGATTTTTTTTTTTTTTTTTGAGATGGGGTTTCGCTCTTGTTTCCCAGGCTGGAGTGCAGTGGCATGATCTCAGCTCATGGCAACCTCTGCCTCTCGGGTTCAAGTGATTCTCTTGCCTCAGCCTCCCAAGTAGCTGGGATTACAGGCATGAACCACCATGCCCGGCTAATTTTGTATTTTTAGTAGAGACGGGGTTTCTTCATGTTCATCAGGCTGGTCTTGAACTCCTGAACTGAGGTGATCCACCTGCCTCGGCCTCCTAAAGTGCTGGTATTACAGGCTTGAGCCACCACACGTGGTCTGAAAGTTATTTTTCTTTCCTTTCCCTCTCCACTCAATTAATTCAATTAATCATGAATTTAATTTAAATGCATATGTCAGGGAGAGTATGTTGGTAATATTAGTGAGAAAAAGGACTCTATTCTATTGGAGAAAAGTAATACATACGTAAGGATTGATTCATAGAAATAAAATGTGTCAATTCTGAAAATTCAGGTTAACATGCACAGGTCTCAAACACGTAAGATTATGTGAAGGAGAATCAGATCACAGCCGAATATTTATATCTTTATGAAGGGTAGTCTTATTAAAAAGACATTTAAAAAATTATAGTCCTTTTAAGGAGGAGGGATATGTCAAGATTAATTCATGGTGAGTTCTATGGAAAAATAAGAGGCATAATTTTAGGCTGAAGCCATAGAGTCAGTGGGAAAATCAGCGAGCATGAGTGATGAAACACGTCATTATGGGAAAGAAAGTGATGGAAACCAAATTGGAATTGCAGATGAGTTCTATTTTTGAGATGCTTCACTGACCCATTAATGATATTCATCCACTCATGCTCCATTAAAGCTCCAATTGCAGAATTTGCATGCAGGTCTACCTATGAGACATGCAAAGGTTAGGGCTCACTCCACATGACCTGGATCAAGTCACCCAGCTACCTGTGTTTCCTTTATAACTTTGAGATTCCCTTTTGCATTGGGAGTTCAGTTCATATTGTATTTCCTGTGTCTTTTCAAGCCATTTCCTTCCATTTCAAAATGATATCAATCAAAATGATATCAGTAGGCTCAAGAGCTCTAGGCAAAACTTTTAGCTGAAGAGGAAAATAAAAAAGTAAAGTAAGCACAAAACTCAAAACAACATATTCAGAAATTGATATGGTAATGCGACGTGAGAATCGTATCTTTGGGCTCAGGCATCCCTCTTCAATTTATTCCAGGACCATAAATGGTCTATACAAGCTGTTTCTCGTTTCAGTATTGCTTAAGTACCTAGGCCTGAGAAATCTATCAGAGCCTCAAACTAGTAATGATGCCTATTCTGTCATATCTGCATATTGCAAAACTGTATTTGTTTTATTCATTTCTATGATCTCTTCTATGGCACATAAACATTTATAAATATGTTATCTTCATTTTTGAATTTTTTCCTTTTTTTAAAAGACAGGATCTGGCTCTGTCACCTAAGTTGGTGTGCAGTGGCACCATGTCAGCTCACTGCAAAATTCAACTCCACGGCTCAAGCCAACCTCCCCTAGCTACTTCAGCCTCCCAAGTAGCTAGGACCGCAGGCATGCACCACCATGTCTAGTTAATTTTTGTATTTTTTGTGGAGACAGGGTCTCACTATGTTGCCCAGGTTGGTCTTGAACTCCTGAGCTCAAGCAATCCACCCACCTCGGTCTCCCAAAGTGCTGGGATTACAGGTGCAAGCCACCACACCCACTTTATTACCAGAAAATATAGGTATTGTTACCCCATTTTTTAATTTGCCTACCACTTGTGTATTCTTTGCTATTTTTATCCCCTACCACTTTTAGAATATATTTGAATCTTTTTAAATTTTATCAGCTTCATCTCTCAGAACCATTATTTTATGCATGACATCTATACTGTAATGGAATTCTTTATTTTGACTTGTATTTCAGTCAATGGGAATATTTCTTAAAGGAATTTTAAAGGGAAGTTATATATCCCGAGTCCTTGAATCTATGAGGAAATCTTTCCATTGCCTTCACACATGACCAATAGCTTGTGTGGATCAAAATAACAGGGTCTGATTCTGTCACCTAAGCTGGAGTGTGGTGGCACCATTTCAGCTCACTGCAAGCTCCAACTCCTGGACTCAAGCCATCCTGCCACCTCAGCCTCCCAAGTAGCTGGGACCACAGGCATGCCACAATTTTTTTTGCCCTTCAATGCAGTTTAGGCGTGAATAAAATATTGGAAAATAAAATTAACCTTCAGGATTATTTAACATGCTTTGGAAACACAGAGAAAGAATCTCACCAACATCTGGAGCATGGGCACTAGTTTACTTCAGGAACACTTAAGGGGGAGTGTATATATGAGATACTAAGTCTAATTTTAACAGTTTAGTAATAGCAGGTCCTTAAAATGTCAGAAAATTAACTTTTATGTCCTCTTATCCTCTTTGAATCCATTATGATACACCAACTTTTAAAAGGTGTTAAAAAACAGAAACCCTCATCTTACTTTCTCAGGACAGGAGACAATAGCAGATAAGAAAGTGTAGCAAATTTGGGGCAAGAGCAATGGTGGTCAACTAAAGATAACAAAAGGAGCTACAATGTGAATGCATACAGAGAGAGTACCACAGAGTGTAAAGTTGGTTTTCCTTGAATCCTCAGAAAGGCTCAGAACCCGGAGTCACCAGGTAATACACCTGAAGGCAGGGTAGGCAGCAGGATGCTTCGACCCCTGGATCCCTACCCCACCCTACAAAGTTGGTCATTAGGCCTCCCCCACTTCCAACCAGGAGAAACAAGGGTTATCTTCCAGAAAATTTAGTGACAGAGACTCCAGATTTGGGAATACTAAAGTGAACAAAAGTCAAGAATAGAACAGAAAACAGACTCATGCAGTGAAAATCTGAGCACTGTGCTCAGCATCCAGGACTGATGGCCATAAGCTTTCCAAGCAGGATATTGGAAGATTCTCCTCTAAAGAAACTAAACATATAAATCTTGACTTCTTTTTTGTGGATGAAGGGGAGGAGAGGTGAAGAGATCAATTAACAAGCCCTGCTGTCCACACAGAACTTTCAATTGGCTTTTTAGTGCCATGTTAACCAATATGCTTCAGACACTTGGGAAATGTCTCCAGCCTGACAATTCACACTAATTTAAAAAGAAAAAAAGAAAAAGGGGGAAAAACAAATTTGACAGGAATAGAAACTACAGGGAGCAGAATAGAACTAAAAAATTGTAAAACAAGAACTATTGTAAATAAAATACTCAAGAGAGCTAAGAGAAGAAATTCTGTTTGAAATAAAAACAAGATTCTAAGAAACAGGAGCAGTCAGAGAAGTTGAGTGAAAGCTTGAGAATTAAAATGTGATAGAAAAAATTAGAAAAACGTTCAGTAAAATGTTTGGAAGGTAAAGTAGAACAAGGAGTCAAATAATTTGTTCTCCTGTCTTGAAGATATGTAAAAAAAATTATAAAAAGAAGTGAAAGAAATGGACATTAAAGAAACTATAATAACACAGAGGATCAATTCAGGAGATCTACCACTCAATGAAGAAAAATTTTAGAAAGACAAATGAGAAAACATAAGGAGTCAGGTGTAATGGTTGCCTGTGCCTATAGTCCCAGTTACTTGGGAGGCTGAGGTGAGAGGGTCCCTTGGGCCCAGGGATTTGAAGCCAGCCTGGGCAACATAGAGAAGTCTTGTCTCAAAAGGAAAAAAGAAGACAGGAAGGGAAGGGAGAAAGAAAGAAAGAGAGAGAGAAAGAGAGAGAGAGAAAGAGAAAGAAAAGAAAGAAAGAAAGAAAAAGAAAGAAAGAAAGAAAGAAAGAAAGAAAGGAAGAAAGGAAGAAGGGAAGGAAGGAAGAAGGGAAGGAAGGAAGAGAAGGAAGGAAGAAGGGAAGGAAGGAAGAAGGGAAGGAAGGAAGAAGGGAAGGAAGGAGGGAGGAAGGAAGGAAAGAAGAGAGGGAGGAAGGAAAGGAGAGAAAGAAAGAGAAAGAGGAAGGAAGGAAAAGAAAGAAAGACAAGGAAGAAAAAGAAAGGAAGGAAGACAGGAAGAAAGGGAAATAGAGAAAGAGGAAGGGAGGGAGGGAAGGAAAGAAGAAGGAAGGAAGGAAATACAAGGGAGAAAACTATCAAAGAAATAGTATAAGAAAATTTCTTTCAGAAGGGAGCTCCAGATTAAAAGACCACCAGCGCTGAGAACAGTGAATGTAAGGCTTACATCAAGATACATCACTGTGAAATCTCAGAATATTAGGGATATGAAAATGGTACTAAAAGCGTCCAATGAGGAAAATAATATGTGGTTCCCATACCAAGGTTCAGGAGGCGAAATGGCATCACACTTTTCAACATCAACACCGGAAGCCAGAAGACAATGGGAAATGCCTTAAAATTTCTCAGTGGGATGTTTTTTAGCCTAGAATTCCATGCCTGGCCAAACTACCAAACAGAAACAAAGGAATAGTAACATTTTCAGATATGAAAAGCCCAAAAAAATCCTTATTGTCCGTGAACCCTTTCTAAAGTAACGTCTGGAGGATGTGCACCACCAACATGAAGAAGAAGTTGACAAAGAGGAGAACACAGATTCAGAAAACAGGAATTTCAAGTCAGAAAATCAGAATTGCATTCAAGGTAAATCCAAAAATGGCAACCGTACAGCAAGCCTAGAAAGCAATCAGTGCAGAGGAGAACAGTAAGATGAAGATTTTGGAGGGAGAACTCTAGGAAAAAAGATCTTTCTAAATGGTGTGGTTACAGTACTATTTCTTGACTTTTAAAGTTTAGATATTATCTATTGGCCCACTGTTATGTGTGATGAGAATTTAGCTCTTACATCCCTCTCTATCCAACAGCCACCATTCTTCCTCTCCCTTTGTGTTCCAACTTCCCAATTGACCTGAGAATTCTAAATTACTGTCAAATGTAGTCTTTGAAAAGGTGCTCAACATCACTAATCATCAGGGAAGTGATAATGAAAACCACAATAAGATATTACCTCATGCCTGTTAGGATGGCTGTTATCAAAAAGTCAAAAGATAAGTGTTGGCAAGGATGTGGTGTAAAGGGAACTCTTATACATTGTTGGTGGGAATGTAACTTGATGCAGCCATTATGGAAAACAGTATGGAGGCTCCTCAAAAAATTAAAAATAGAACTCACCTGTGAACCAGCAATTCCACTTCTGGATACATATCCAAAGTAAATAAAATCACTATCTTGAAGATATCTGCACTTGTATGTACATTGCAGCATTATTCACAGCTACTAAGATACAGAAATATCTATATGCCCATCCACAGATGAGTGGATAAAGAAAATGTATATAAATGTCATTATTCAAAATGCAATTCAGCCTTTAAAAGGAAGAAAATCCTGTCATTTATAACAACATGGATGAACCCAGAGGACATTAAGCTAAGTGAAATAAGCTAGACACACAAAGACCGATACTGCATGATCTGACTTATATGGTGGTTGCATGGGGTGGAATGAGGAAGAAACTGGTAGACGTTGGTCAAAGAGTATAAAGTTTCAGCTATCCAAAATCAGTAAGTTCTGGAAATTGAATGTATGGCAATGTGACTATAGTTAACAATACTGTATTGTACACTTGAAATTTGCTAGAACATAAGTATTTTCACCACAAAAAGAATAACTATGTGAGGTGATTGATATGTTAATTAGTTTGATTGTGGTCATCTACTTCACAATGTATATGTATATCAAAACATTATTTTGTACACCTTGAATATATGCAATTTTTACTTGTCAATTATATCTCCAAAAAGCTTTCAAAAAGCTAACAATAAATTCAACAATATGAAACACATGAGAAACATGCTGCCAGGATCTTAGAAGAGGGCAACTTAAGGGAGAGGTGGCTTGGGCAGAGAGCATCAGGAAAGGTTTGCTTGTGGAGGTAATAGCACCTAAGTCTTAAAGAACAAGTAGAATGGAGGTTCCTGCACAGTCTGTAGAACAGAATGAGAGAGTTCTCACCATTGTTGAATAGATAAGTGAATGATGATCTATAGCTGTATAGGACTCCTAATTTCCGATTATATCAAACCCAACAAAGACCTTCCAAAAGAACATTTCTGACCAATATAAAGCTCATCTGCACACATGGACCTGCTATTGTGATCCCACCTGTGAGTCACACAGGGCTCTTCAAGGCCCTAAGCCGATCCCTACATGACCCTGTGAATATTCTGAACATTGAAGACTGTGGCATTAGTGATTCACTTTTGCTCTATTCTATTCTATTGGCATTATGTATTCCTAGGAGTATTGTATGTTGGGGCAATAATTCATTACTTGACTAACATATTACCTGAAATTCTGATGATCAGGTTACATCATAGAAAAGAATTAGGACAATGTCCTGAATATCTCCTACGCTTCCTAAATTTCTTGCTATAATTGATCATCATACAACAAAATCTTATTAATTTGGGACATGTGCAGGCTAATTTTCCCTGGCCTGTACCGAGGGAAAATTGGCATCTTCCACAAAATTCATGGACAAATTGGGAAGGTAAATGTAATTACAGAAGATATATTTAACCTAGCGTGAATGTACTTTGTGCTAATTGCAAGTGAATCATATTATTCTGTACTTGAGCCTTGAACCTCATCACTTAGAAGCATTCTTTAGCTATGATGCTTAATTATGTTTAAATGTATTGGGAAGAAGCTAAATGACATTATTATTTTATTTCATTTTTTAAGTTTTGAGGTACAAGTGTGACTTTGTTGCATGCATAGATTGCATAATTAGCAAGTCAGAGCTTTTAGGCCATCATCACATGAGTAACATAAACTGTACCCATTAAGTAATTTCTCATTGTCAACCCCACTCTCACTCTCTAAGCTTTCTGAGTGTCCATGGTCTATCATTCTACTCTCTATGTCCATGTGCACACATTATGTAGCCCCCATGTGTGAGAATATGCGATATTTGTCTTTCTGTGTCTGATTTGTTTCATTTAAGATAATGATCTCCAGTTCCATCCATGTTGCTGCAAAATACATGATTTTATTATGATTTTATGGTGGAATAGCATTAAGTGACATTATTTTCTAAAGTCCAAGTCAACCAAATTAGTGTAGCCTGCACTTTGGGGCCATCATTAAGTAAAATGAGGGTTATTTGAAAGCAAGCACTGCATATCCTACAGTACTACAACAGTCAGTCTGGTAACTGAGATAATTACTCGGGGATTAAAGGGTGGTCATGTATACAGTATGGACACAGGGAGGACATTTGTCCCAGGCAAGACAGAGCAGGATTGGTGATATTTCATCATACAACTCAGAATGGCATGCAATTTAAAACTTACAAATTGTTTATTTCTGGAATCTTCCATTAATACATTAGAACCGTGGTTGACCATAAGTAACTGAAACCATGGAAAGTAAATCCACAGATAGGGAAGGAATACTGTAATGCTATGAAGAGAGCATTAAGGGTGATTCTGGTCAGGGCTCAGAAGAAAATAATAGCTGTAGGGAAAGTATGAATCTTCTTATAGGTTATTTAGGTGGTCGTGGCCAGAATGCTGAGAGAAATATGGACAATAGAGGCTATTCTGATGAGATCTCAGATGGAAATGAGGAACAAGAATTGGAAACTGGAGTAAAGGCCATCCTTGTTACAAAGTGGCAAAGGACTTGATTGAATTATGTTCATGTCTAAAGACTTTACGGAAGGCAGAGTTAAAGAAAGATGAACAAGTATATCGGGGGAAGAAATTTCCAAGAAAAATGTTGAAGGAGCTGATTGGTGTCTTTGAACTGCGTATAGTAAAATGCAAGAGGAAAGAAACGATTTAAAGGTGGAATTCGCAATTAAAAGGGAAACAGAGAATATAGATGTAGAAAATGTGCCACCTGACCAACAATGAGAACACGTGGTCACAGGAAGGGGAACATCACACACCAGGGACTGTTGTGGGGTGGGGGGAGGGGGGAGGGTTACCATTAGGAGATATACCTAATGTAAATGACGAGTTAATGGGTGCAGCACACGAACATGGCACATGTATACATATGTAACAAACCTGCACGTTGTGCACATGTTCCCTAAAACTTAAAGTATAATAATAATAAAATTTTAAAAAAAGAATGAAAAAGCATGCAAGGGTGTGGCCAAGTGATGCTTTGATACAAGGATTGATAAGAATAGAAGGAAGCTAGGTGCTGTTCATCAGATCAATGGGAGAATGGCTCTGAAGGCATTTCAGAGATCGTTGAAGCTATCCCTCCCATCACAGGCTCCAAATGAGAGAATCTTCAGGTCAGAAAGGGCTTGGTACTCTCCACATTCTAACACAGTGCCCCTTTGCTGCTCCAGTTGTGGCTCAAGTGGGCTTAGATGAGACTTGTGCTGCTGCTGCAGAGGCCACAAACTGTGAGCCTTGGTGGTGTTCATGTAGTACTGACTGTAGATACACAGACTGCAGGAGTTGTGGGGCAATGGTGGTCCACCTAGGTTTGAAAGGATGTTTCTGACAGCCTGCCTTAGGGTTGTAGCCACAGCAGAAAGGTCCTCCTAGGGCCATGCTCAGGAAAACGGGGGGTCAGAGCAGCCACTGAGACCCTAGAACTGTAGAACTATCAGCCTGCAATACTAGCCTGAGAGAGCTGCAGCAGAGACTCCAATCAGATAGCTGCTGTATGGGCTGAGCCCAGCAAAGCCATGGGGCAGGGCTATCTGAGGGCATTTGGGGCCTAACACCAAGGCCCCAGGCAGCCCTTCCCCATGTCGGGCACATCCAGGAGACAGCACATGGAGTCGAAGTTTATTCTCCAGTCTTAAGATTTAATGCTGTCTTCCCTGTTGGACTCACCTGGGGCCAGTTACCCTTTTTTCTTTCCTGTTGCTCCCTTTTGGAATGGGCCTGTCTATCCTATGCCTCTCCCACCATTGGATTTTGGAACTAGATAACTTCTTTAATAGGCTCACATATGGAGGAGAATTTGCCTCAGGATAAGTCCTGTGTTGAGTCTCATTCATATCAGAGTCACCTGAGACTCTTAGATTTACATTTTGACTTTTAAGTTGGTGATGGAACATGACTTTGGGACTATTGGGATAAAAGGAATATATTTTGTGTATGAGAAGGACATGGATTTGGGGGACCAAGGGTGGAATGCAATGGTATGAATGTGTCCCTCAAAGTTCATGTGTTGGAAACTTGATCCTCAATGCAGCAGTGTTGGGAGGTGGGGCCTAACAGGAGATGTTTGGGTCATGGTGACACCACCCTCATGAGTGGATTAATGTTGTTATTACAAGAGTGGGTTCCTTATAAAAGGATGAGTTTGACTCCTTCTTTCTCTGTCTCACCCTCTCTCCCTTCCACAATGGGATAACATGGTATTCCTGGTTATCTATAACCAAGTCTCATTCTATAAACGGAATCCTAATTCCACAAGGTTCCACATATGCTATTTATCAGGGGACATGTTGCTTACCACATAAATAATTGTAGTTTTCCTGAAATGAAACTCTGATCTCCTTGTTTGGAATGTTTTCCTCTCTTTTATCCAGAAGTCAAACGATATATACATTTTTAAAGGACCTTACATGCTTCTATGTCATCAAAAAGCCTTCATTCATTCAACAAACATTTATTTCCGGTGTTCTCTGTGCTGAGTATCATGGTAACAAAAAGAAAAGTCATAGCCCATGCCTTCAGGCTATTTGCATTGCATATGGGGGAATGAAAGAAGTAAACGTCTATGATACAGTAGAATGTATCACATTATGAGCACAAGGCAGGAAATAATGATAAATGAATGGGGTAGTTTATCAGGAAAGATATTACTGAGGAGGAAATATTTAACTGGGTTTTGACAAATGAGTAGGAGTTTGCAGAGTGGACAAAAAAAGACGACACATTCCAAGAAGATGAAGCAGTTTCAGCAAGCTTAGCAAATTTTGTTCTTTACCACTTTCTTGGCTACACTAAGACATATTAGACTTACTTTCTCTTTAATCTTGGACAAGCATTTTGTTTGTTTGTTTTAGCTTTTTAATGCTTCTTTTGAGTATTCTGCTAAAAGAGCAATAAGAATGTACACTACTTTATAAGGTTGTAATAAAGAGTGAAAATGAAAAAGATATTTAGCACAATGTCTGGTACATAGTCAATACTTCACAAGTAATATACATACCCTGAGGATGTATGGAACTGATCCACATACTATACATTTTTATTTTAGTTGTTTAATGAACATAATTGTAATTCTTTTCATTTTTGCCAAATTCTGTTTCTTATGCATGTGTCTTATACAAGTACCTGCAGGAAAAAGAGGAGGGTTTATCTGTTCTATACCCAGAGTACCCAATAGAATGTCTTGGATGCATATTATTGAAGGCTTAATAATTCTAAATATTGTTTACATATAACAAATGCTTTTGTCAATGAAAATCCATCATGCAGTTTTGATGATCAAAGGTAAATCAAAACTTCCTACTCCAAATGCCTATGCTGTAAGACATACAGAAAAATGTGTTTTTACTCATTAAAGGCAATGAGTCATGGCTAAGTACTTTCACTTGGAGTGGTGGAATGAGATCTGACACAGAGTTTATAACTTCCTTGAGATCTGACCATCTCCCCAACCATTCAAGAAGCATACACGGAATCAGAGTCATCTTCATTATAGATGGGACATCCTTCTCCCGAATGAGTCCTTCCTTCTAATTCCTTTCCAACATTTCATCTGACCAGGACATTATTTGACAACAAAAGACACATTCACATTATAAAAATTGTCCCCCATGATTTGCAGAGAGCAATCTACAGGTAGGAGGGAGAATCACATTTAGAAATAAAGTGTCAGAGTCATGTGACCAGTGCTTTGTAAAAGACACTGCAGAGACCAGGGACAAAGGTGACCCCCACTAAGGAAGAAATATGACAAGTGTTTCCAATAGAAACACAGGAGCACAGCAGGAAAAGGAAATGGGTTATTTTCTCTCTTTTGGAGTATTTAAGTAGAAGCACACAATTATGTAATTACATGATTAAGTTTTCCACGAGGTAAATAATAAGGAAATAATGACGTGGTGGCAATGGGCCTTCAGCAGGGTATAAAGGAGGCTATGGACCCAGAAGACTTCCAAACCCAAGAACTTCACTCTCTTGAAAACCCACCCAGATCCTCCCCGTTCTGACACCATGGTCAGCTCCTGTTGTGGCTCCGTGTGCTCTGACCAGGGCTGCGGCCAAGTCCTCTGTCAGGAGACCTGCTGCCGCCCCAGCTGCTGTCAGACCACCTGTTGCAGGACCACCTGCTACCGCCCCAGCTGTTGTGTGTCCAGCTGCTGCAGGCCCCAGTGCTGCCAGTCTGTGTGCTGCCAACCCACCTGCTGTCGCCCCAGCTGCTGTGAGACGACCTGCTGCCACCCTAGGTGCTGCATCTCCAGCTGCTGCCGCCCCAGCTGCTGTATGTCCAGCTGCTGCAAGCCCCAGTGCTGCCAGTCTGTGTGCTGCCAGCCCACCTGCTGCCACCCCAGCTGCTGCATCTCCAGCTGCTGTCGCCCCAGCTGCTGTGTGTCCAGGTGCTGCAGGCCCCAGTGCTGCCAGTCTGTGTGCTGCCAGCCAACCTGCTGCCGTCCCAGCTGCTGCATCTCCAGCTGCTGCCGCCCCTCTTGCTGTGAATCCAGCTGCTGCCGCCCATGCTGCTGCCGCCCCTGCTGCTGCCTGCGTCCAGTCTGTGGCCGAGTCTCCTGCCACACCACTTGCTATCGCCCAACCTGTGTCATCTCCACCTGTCCCCGCCCCTTGTGCTGTGCCTCCTCTTGCTGCTGAGCCCACTGCCCTGGCTCACGTCCCCCTTCACCACTGGCCCACAGATGTAGACCCTTCTACTGTGCTGACCATTAGGATACATGAAGTGGGGTTGATGTCATTCAATAGGATGGACCTTATGCTTCCAAAGAGCCCACCACCATTTCACTGACTCTGTGAGAACATTCTGGTTCATTTTAAACTCCCTCCCTTGCTTTCTTTTTCTTCTGGTGGTGGCACCAAATGTGAATTAATTTGTAATACACTAGCTAAGAAATTATTCCAATCTTCTGATTTCCTTATTTTCTTTATCACTTTAAGGTACAGATTCTCCTTCTCAGTGAGGTAGATATTATCTGCAGGACCAGTTTTGTCACTGATGTTGCACCCTCAGATCCAGCCACCCAATTGTATTCTGTGTTTCTCCTAGGGTGAATTTCTTATGCTTTGTTGCATCTCTGCTTTCTAATAAACTTTTCTGCACTTAAGAATTCATTGGTATCATTCTCTATTGCTTTCATAATTATTTTACTGATTCCCTGGCAATTATATTTTACACAAAGACACAGGAGGAGCAACCCGTGTTGAAATCATTTTGAAGATACATTCTATATCAAATATAGATAATTTAAGGTATTGGAATAAAAGTGCTGTGTGTATATGTGTGTGTATGTGCACATGTGTCTTAATATTCTAAATTAAGACATTTAATTCATGCCTTAGCTCTTGAAACACATTTTATCATGAACACATTATATCTCACAATACTATTGTCCCTATTTTGACAAAAAACATAAAACCAAATTTCAGAAAAGTAGACACCAATGAAATAAGGGAAATCTTCTATAAAGAATTTAATGTACTCGAGTCATTTCACTCAATAAACAACATTTTGGAATTTATAACCAAAAAGCGGGCTTTATTTCCCAGTGAGTTCTGCTGAGAAAAAAAAGCATGTTGAGCTGTATTTTATCTGGATAGCATGGTATATTTCTGACAGTGGTCTCTATGGGTTTACGTTATAATTTAAACATCTCCACACTTAACATTTTAATATATATAAACCCAGAAAGGCTGAAAATTTCAAGGCTCACTTTTCTTTTTAAGAATTATTTTCTTGTAGATTTGTTTGAGTTCATTGTAGATTCTCAATATTAGCCCTTTGTCAGATGAGTAGATTGCAAAAATTTTCTCCCATTCTGTAGGTTGCTTGTTCACCCTGATGGTAGTTTCTTTTGCTGTGCAGAAGCTCTTTAGTTTAATTAGATCCCATTTGTCAATTTTGGCTTTTGTTGCCATTGCTTTTGGTGTTTTAGACATGAAGTCCATGCCCATGCCTATGTCCTGAATGGTATTGCCTAGGTTTTATTCTAGGGTTTTTAAGGTTTTAGGTCTAATATGTAAGTCTTTAATCCATCCTGAATTAATTTTTGTATAAAGTGTAAGGAAGGGATCCAGTTTCAGCTTTCTACATATGACTAGCCAGTTTTCACAGCACCATTTATTAAATAGGGGATCCTTTCTCCATTTCTTGTTTTTGTCAGGTTTGTCAAAGACCAAAAAACAAACAGCCCCATCAAAAAGTGGGCAAAGGATATGAACAGACACTTCTCAAAAGAAGACATTTATGCAGCCAAAAGACATATGAAAAAATGCTCATCATCACTGGCCATCAGAGAAATGCAAATCAAAACCACAATGAGATACCATCTCACACCAGTTAGAATGGCGATCATTAAAAAGTCAGGAAACAACAGGTGCTGGAGAGGATGTGGAGAAATAGGAACACTTTTACACTGTTGGTGGGACTGTAAACTAGCTCAACCATTGTGGAAGACAGTGTGGCGATTCCTCAGGGATCTTGAACTAGAAATACCATTTGACCCAGCAATCCATTACTGGGTATATACCCAAAGGATTATAAACCATGCTGCTGTAAAGACACATGCACATGTATGTTTATTGCGGCACTATTCACAATAGCAAAGACTTGGAACCAAGCCAAATGTCCAACAATCATAGACTGGATTAAGAAAATGTGGCACATATACACCATGGAATACTATGCAGCCATATAAAATGATGAGTTCATGTCCTTTGTAGGGACATGGATGAAGCTGGAAACCATCATTCTCAGCAAACTATCGCAAGAACAAAAAACCAAACACCGCATGTTCTCACTCATAGGTGGGAATTGAACAATGAGAACACATGGACACAGGAAGGGAAACATCACACACCGGGGCCTGTTGTGGGGGTGGGGGGAGGGGGAAGGATACCATTAGGAGATATACCTAATGTTAAATGACAAGTTGATGGGTGCAGCACACCAACATGGCACATGTATATGTGTAACTAACCTGCATGTTGTGCACATGTACCCTAAAACTTAAAGTATCATAAAAATAAATAAATAAATAAATAAATTGAGAAAAAAAAGAATTTTTTTTTGAAATTAGTTCATAGCCTTGAGTAGGTCGCAGCTGGGGTGCATATCCTAATTAGAATCTCCAAGAGTAGTGCCTTCATTTGAATCTGAAAGAATATGGTAAGTGATTATAACTTGGCATTCTAGTAGGAGCACCTGCTCTTGATGTTTTTACTTTTACTTGACAATTATCAGCTCTGAAGTGCCCTAAGCTATTGAGCCAATCAAGTTTAAGATGATTTGTTCAGATATCATTGATAAGCTTCACATTTTTTCAGATGCCTTAAGAAAATTGTTGCCCAGGTCTTAATCATAGAGTTATGATGCCTCCTTAAACATGAGGCAGGATAAATAAGGTTAGAAGGCTGTGAAAGTAAAATAAATATTGGGGCCCCCAAATCACTAAGCTAAAGGGAAAAGGCAAACTCGGAACTGCTTAGGACAAACTTGCCTCTCATTCTATTCAAAGTCACCCCTCTGCTCACCGAGATAAATGCATATCTGATTGACTCCTTGGGAAAGACTAATCAGAAACTCAAAAGAATGCAACCATTTGTCTCTTATATACCTATGATCTGGAAGCCCCCTCCCAGCTTTGAGTTGTCCCGGCTTTGCTTCGAGTTGTCCTGCCTTTTCTGAACCAAATCTGTGTTTATCTTACATATGTTGATTGATGCCTCATATCTCCCGAAAATGTATAAAACAAAAGTGTTATCTGACCACCTTACACACATGTTGTCAGGACTTCCTGAAGCTGTGTCACTGGAGCAGCCTGAAGCTGTGTCACTGAAGCATCCTCAACCTTGGCAAAATAAACTTTCTAAATTAACTGAAGCCTGTCTCAGATATTCAGCGTTCACATTTTTGTAATTCTGAAGGGATTCTGAGTGGAGATGCACCTGACCTTTGACAAATATCCAGTTGGTACCTGGTAATAGCATGAGCTAACCTTATGGCTCAAACCAAGAGGACAATTTACTGAGTTCTGGAAGCACCCTCCCCAAAGAATCCATGATCTCCCAAAATTTGGTGAAGATCTAAAGTGTATTTTGCTGTACAACTTCCCCATCTATTTTTTTTTTTTTTTTGGAGTTTTACTGGCTTACTTGCCTTCCTTTACAAGGAAGGCAAGATTTATTTTACTTCCTTTACAAGGAAGGCAAGATTTCCTGCTTCCATGATGATGAAACGCATGTAGAGTTTGAGCTCACTCCCAGCAGGGAACACCAGTTTGAGTTTTTTTCCTGCTTCCAGGATGGTAGAAAGCAGCTTTCAGCCTGAGACCCATCCCTAGGTAAGTAGCTGAACTGGGGCTTTGTCTTGGCTAAAGTTTAACAACCAGATGGTCTTAATTTCTCCTTATCATTAGAATGCTTGGTAATCGTTTTGTTGGACATTTTGTTGTTTGTTTTGGTCTTTCTCCCATCAGACTTGACCAACTCTACCTGACTTGGTCAAATCCAAGTGAGAATTCAAAATTATGGGTAACAAAGCCTCTTTAATTTGGCTAAAATTCATTGCAGCTGCAAAAGAAGAAAACAAACAAAAAGAACCAAAAATCCGTGCACTTGGTTTCTGTGTTTGCTTCCTGCCTTAGAAAACAAATTTTCTTTCATTTACTTTTCTTCCACCATATACCTCTTTCCCCCTTTGCCATCCGCAGTACCAAAAAATCTAGAGAAGGCTTCTAATGACTTGAACCCCCTTAAAGAATCAGAACAAAGGTCGCCAGTCACCCCTTTTGGGGTGTTTTGTTTTCTTTGTGGAGTTTCAAGAGTCATGGGTAGATTCTTCTTAACTCTAAACCTCTATTTTCCTGTATTGCAAGACCTGACCTCTTTGGCTTTGACCTTGCTGGGTATAATGGTAGATGACAGCTACAGAGTTAAGGGGTGTCTGAGCACAGTTTACAAAAAGTGGTCTTGGCTGTTGTTTTGTTTTCCTTCCAGGAAGCTGTTGTTTAAAGATCCTAATTCTAGTTCAGAGATGCATTCTAAAGGGTCCTCTCTGTTGCTTTTTCTCCACAAATTAAGCTCGATTCGGCTTGTCTGTGTGCATTTGCATGAGGAACTGAACTGTTGTTTTCAGTGGTGACCCACTGTGGAGTCCTGCCCACAAATGGCACATATTGATCCACCACAGAAAACCTCTAGGCCTCAGCTCAGTTCCTCTTTTTAAGAAGAAAACTGGGAAACAAATAATCTAAGAATGAGGAGAAAGCAAAGAGAATGATTCCCTTTCAAGCACTCCATAGGTTTTATGGCACCTGTACTTGCCAGAGTTTAAGTAAAATGGAAGTAATATGGTCTTTGTGCATATTTACATTAAGAAAGAAAGGGCCCATGTAAATTAGTTCAACCATTGTGGAAGATAGTATGGTGATTCCTCAAGGATCTAGAATCAGAAATACCATTTGATCCAGCAATCCCATTACTTGTTATATACCCAAAGGAATACAAATCATTCTACTGTAAAGACACAGGCACATGTATGTTTATTGCAGCACTATTTACAAGAGCAAAGTCATGGAACTAACCCAAACGCCCATCAATTATAGACTTGATAAAGAAAATGTGGTACATATACACCATGGAATACGATGCAGCCATAAAACGGAGTGAGATCATGTCCTTTGTAGGGACATGGATGAAGCTGGAAACCATCATCCTCAGCAAACTAACACAGAAACAGAATACCAAATACAACATGTTCTCACTCACATATGGGAGTTGAACTTTGAGAACACATGGACACAGAGAGGAGAGCAACACATATCAGGGGCTCTTAGGGGGTGGGGAATGAGAGGAGGGAACTTAGAGGATGGGTCAATAGGTGCAGCAAACCACCAAGGCACACATATACCTATGTAACAAACCTGCACGTTCTCCTGCATGTATATTTCATTTTTTTTTAGAAGAGAAAGAAAAGAAGGAAAGAAAGCAAGAAAGCAAGAAAGAGAAAGAAAGAAAGAAAGAAAGAAAGAAAGAAAGAAAGAAAGAAAGAAAGAAAGAAAGAAAGAAAGAAAAGAAGAGCCTTAAGGTCGACCTACAAACTACAGAGTTCCTAAGTTCTCTTTTTTCTCTATTTTCTTTTCTGCCTGCTTTAAATCTGCTGTTATTTTTCTATTAAGATCAAAACCACTGTTTGGATACAACAGTTTTTTTGCTTGCAAGCTGGTGAATTTGTATTTGTCTCATGGCTAAAGTTCTGAAGTAAAAGCTATAGGATGTGTGTGTGTGTGTGTGTGTGTGTGTGTGTGTGTGTGTGTATTTAAATGGCCTTTATAATTTTTATAATTTTATGTTTATTTGGCAATGAAGTCCATTTTAATTTCCCTCTAGCACCACCAGACTTTTTCTCTCTGTACCTTAAGACATAAATTTTGCTCTTTGATTTTTGCCTGAGTTGTTTCCTTTAATATGCAAACTTAAAGCCATTTAGCTGACAACTTCCTAGGGGATTAAAACAGGTTATTGAGAATTTGAAAGTCTAAGATAGTGGAAAAATCTTCTTATGAATCTATAAGATGTACTTCTATCAACATGCCTACTAGGTCTATGTATTTATGTGTTGTGTACACAATGTCTCACTACTGAAAATATATAAAAGAGCTCTAATTAATTGGCTTAAGAAAAAAAGCACTTAAATCAAATACTTATTAGGAAAAAAGAAAAGACTAGTTGAATGCTTTCTCAAGTTTATGTAACTTAAGTAAAATCTTTAATAAATAAGCTACTTTTAAAATGATTGGTAAAGTAATATTAGACATGTCTTAAGAATTGCCAGCATGCATTTTGTTTGCATTTATTAATCAAGCAATTTCATGTTTATCCCTGTCAAATACTATAAGGTGTCAAAATTTGGCATGGGGTTACAAAACTGTGATAGAATGATCTTTGCTTGTGTAATCCTTAATAAATAAGACATTGATACTGGTTTAATAAAAATAGCCACATCTTGAATTTAGTCAGATTACCATAACTTCGAATCTTGTGGCTTTTAGTGGTCTAGTCCACAGGCAGTAATATTTACTTTGGGAATGAAATATTATAATCTTTGTTTCAAAGGTAAACTATAAACTATTTTCCTCTCAAAGTCTGTTCAGCCTGTGCTGGTAAGAAAGCTTAAAGAGAAATAATTTCATATGAGAAAGAATCTTGTATGGTAAATTTAGACCTAAAATAAAATGACTGATTGTTTAAGAAAGATGGATGTTCAAAACAAACTAGATAGTCCAAGCATATCATGAACAGTCTCTATAAGTCATAATAAGAGGATTTATTTTAAAAAAATACCAAAAAACTTTTATATGATTGAGTTGTCTATAATTAAAGGGAAATTATAATGGTCTTCCTGAAGATTGGGCTTCATGCTAAAAAAAACACTTATAGACTAAATAATTAGTTACAGCGATGAAATTTTCTTAAGGGATTGATTTACTCTTAATAAATTATAAGAGATTTTAATTTTTTAACCCAAAGTTCAACTATTTACTTGCTGTTTTCTCTCCCCTTCAACTTGTTTTCAGCTCATATAAGTTATTTTCCTTAAGTTCCGTTTGTTGTGGCCTGATGCTAACAATGTTTTCTAAAAGTCTAAAGGAAATGTTTTCTTCCAAAGTAATACTCTGTGCAGTGTAGAAGGTCTTTTCTTTTGCCTTTTGGTAATTGGCCTAACAGATTTTATGGCTTATTGAAACAATTCCTATGCCATTATTATTAATTTTTGGTTTGCTTAGGAAAAAGAAACTGAGACAATTTTTTTAAAAAATTAACGTTATTACATCCATGTATATTTCTGTGTGCACTTTGAAAGTACCTGTGACATTGAGTTACCGGCCTTTAACTCCTGGATCTAAAAAGGAGACCAAGATCTGCTAAATCTTAAACACTGACAGCAATTAAAACCTCATCTTCAGGACTGGTAGAAGATGCCTATCAAAATAAGCTGCATTTCTGAGACGTAAGGCCATAAATCAAAGCTATTCAGCTCTTCAAGGCTCAGGAACTATCACAGAAGAGGTAGGCATGTGAGATTATAAGGGCTGATTTTGAGAGATAAAATAAGTTCAGTTTCTATACAAGTTAATAATTGATGTCAAAGGCACACTGATGCAATACCAGCATATGGGCCCCTGTGTCAGATTAACAAGGTTTTCTTGAAGTGTTAACTGACCCCTTAATAAAGGTTATAAAGGTTATAAAAGGCTTATGAAAGTTGTATCTTATGGTCAAGATTAAAATGTTATAGATTGTTTAAAAAATTTTGAAAAACAAATTTAATTGGCTTTATGCTGTTTTATTTGGGCTTATTGTTTGAAAAATTGACTTATTTTATGATGACCTGTCATATCAAGTGTTTTAAACCTTTGATATTTGACAAACTTTCCAAAATCAAATTACAAGTTGTGTATTTTTCTGACCTAATTAATCCTTTAAGATATTAGTTTCCCTCAAGTCCAAAAATGAAATAATTTGACTTATTTGGTATAAAAATTATACAGGAAGCATTGTCAAATATAAAATGGTGTTTGGTTTTATTTGGGCTGTATTTGTATAAAATTGTTATTGGTATGTGCACCAAAATTATGGGAAACTCCTATAATTCTGATATGACCTGGTGTACATTATCAGTAATAATTATGATTGTTATATTAAATTATTTTGTGCCATGGTGGTAACAAATTTTCTTGTCAATTGTGTTTTCGCCTATGGCTGACCTAAAACTTTTTGTCACCCATGGACAATTTTTGTCTTGTTTTAGTCCTCTTTAGAAGATGGTTTTATAATCAGCTATAAAACTCTAACAGGTATTCTTGAATGCAGGTTTCTAATAACTCTGGAGATTGTGACATCACAATGAAGGAAAAGCTTTCAGGACTCATGGAGACCTGAAATGTTCATGAATAGCAAGCAGAACAGGAATTAACTGCATGAACTGAACTAACAGAAGACTGAAGTAATCTTTTTGACTTTTCGCTTAAAACATTGCTGACCCTTTATTTTGTTTTTTTCAGTCAAGGAAACTTTTCTTTTGAGCTGTTGTCAGCTTTTAACAAGTTAGTATACTCCTGTGAAAAATATTTGGAGCATATTTGTTTCTCTCTACCTGATTTTCCCCAGAATTGGAAACTATCTGTGAGTATTCTTAACTTATGGCAATACAGTTATTTGCGTAAGTGCAATAAGAATCTGTTGTCATTTGTAACAGGACACGATAAATTGGTCATTTTACCAAGGCTTTTACTTGAATGGTGTGCTCTTCTTTGAGGAATCAAACTTGACTTATGGAGCCAATAAAAGCCCCTTGGGAGAACTGGCCTCATACCTTATCTACACAGTCCCTGTACAGGGTTCCTGACCTGTGGTAAGTAAAGCATGTCACTTTCTAACAGTTCCAGGAGCCCCAAGTTTATCTTGGAACCTCAAGAGGAGAGGAATTCACCCAACTCATAGGTATTTGATGGTACAAATCCATGGCTAGGCTAAGCTTTCCAAAAGTCTTATCCGAAATTCCTTCTATGGAACAAAGTTCTGATAGGGACAGGGGACAGGGAAATTCTAGGCAGAAAAGGATAGGTCTCTGACAAAACCCCACCTTCAAGCTGAAAAGCCTTAAACCATGGCCCAAAGTGACAACTTATATCCCTGTTTTCCTGCTTGAAAGTTGCCTTTTTCTAAACCACTCATGGCCCCATCCTGTCCCATCCTGTGCCTGTGAAGATCTCAGACTGAGCTGGCAGAGGCAAGAAGCAGCTGGATGTTGGGGACTACAGCCGGACATCAGAGAGAAGCAGCTTGACTGCAGAGGGACAGCTTGATGGTGTAACCTTGGAGAAGAATCCGGCTGGATACAGCCTAACTTTGAGGAAGATTACCTACCCACCCCATCCTTTTTCAGCTCTCTTCCTGCTAAGAGCCACTTTCATCAGTAACAAAATCCCCCACATTTACCATCCTTTGATAGGTTCATGTGACCTCACCTTTCCTGGACACCAGACAAGAGCTTGGGAGCCAGGAGAGCAGATACAAAAGGCTGTCACACTGGCCTTCTGCTCTTGCTGGTGGAGGGCAGCTGCCTCATGCAAAAAGGCAGAGGGCTCAGTGAGCTGTTGACACTTAAGCCATCCATGGAAGGCAGAGTTAAAAGAGCACTGTAACATGACTTCTGGGGCTATGGGAGTTGCAGGCACCTCCACCTAGATGCTGCTGTGGGGCCCGCACAGAGTTTGCTCCTGCCAGCACCCAAAAGCACTCACTCTGGCTCCTGCACCCATTCACCTGCATGCTTCCTTTCATGAGCAGGGGACTGCAGCAGGTCCAAGTGAGTGAAGTTTGATCCTGCAGCACTGAAGTGCTGATTCCAGCACTCATGCACTCCAGTTCCTGCCTCATTTGCTTGCATGCTCTCTCCTGCAAGGAGGTGAGAGTGGCAGGCTGAATAAATGAGGCCCTGTCACAAGTCCCACAGAAGGGTCAGGGAAACATCCTGCTTCACTTCCATCAAAGAGAATTTAAAAGCTTATGCAAAAAAATTATTACTATTACTATGACTGTGCTGTGTACAATAATCAGGTCAAGTATAATAAAGCAAATCAGCTCTGCCATGATTTGTCTTTAGTAAAAATGGTAAATGGGAGAGAGAAGAATTGTTTCAAAAAATGATAGTACACCTGTTGTTAGATTCTAGTCTTGCCTAATGTTTTTCCATTTTTATTAATTTTTACAGTTTGGACTGAATTCTAATTTTTCTTGGCTACAGGTCTTCAAAAGATTGTCTTCAGTTTTTTTCTTCTTCTTCTTTCCACCATTTTTCCTAATTTGGAGTCACCGAAAACTCATCTGTGCTTTTATAAAGCCCTGTGAACTGCAGCTATAAGATTTAAACTTCAGAAGAAAATATTAGCAACCTTTTCACATACTTGAGCCTCTTTCATACCTGCCTACTGATATATGGACTTCCGAGTAATGTGGCCCATATTGATTTTCCAGGATTGTTCTTTTGTTTATTTTTGTTTTTCTCCCTTCCTTTCCCTATTTTCTCTTCATAGGACATGAAACTTCACAACCTGCTAAAAATGAACTTTCCTAATAACTCAGGAATTATCTGTCTAGGAATAAACAATCCTAGCCATGAGATATCAGATGAAACTTGAGACCAAAGACTGACTTTCTTCTAAAATGCTTTCTCAAAAAGATTTTTAAGAAGAAATGGGCGGAAATGTGAAAGGAAAATAAACCTTGGGGCCCTGAAATCACTAAGGTAAAGGGGAAAGTCAAGCTGGGAACTGCTTAGGGCAAACCTGCCTCCCATTCTATTCACAGTCACCCCTCTGCTCACAGAGATAAATGCATATCTGATTGCCTCCTTTGGAAAGGCTAATCAGAAACTCTGAAGAAAGCAACCATTTTTCTCTTATCTACCTATGACCTGGAAGCCCCTCCCCACTTAGAGTTGTCCCGGCCTTTTCCGGACGGAACCACTGTTCATCTTACATATGTTGATTGATGTCTCATGTCTCCCTAAAATGTATAAAACCAAGCTGTGCTCTGACCACTTTGGGCACCTGTCTTCAGAACCTCCTGAGGCTGTGTCACAGGTGTACATCCCCAACCTTGGCAAAATAAACTTTCTAAATAAACTGAGACCTCTCTCTGATTTTGCGGGTTCAGAAGGCTATACTGAATTGTCCCCTGTGTGAAGCCCAGCAGGAGCCTTTCACAGCAGGTTCTTTTCACTTGAACCTTCGTGCATCAGCACCTAACTCTTTCGCAAGATAAGGGGTCCTACGGAATACCAGCAGACCCACCAGAGGGTTACAAGTTCCTGATACCTAGTACAACCTGGGAAAGAGAGCAAAAGCCCTTTATTCCTGATGTAGCTTCCCCAATCTCTAGCCAATTTGCACCAAAAGCCCAAGAAACTCCTAACTACAAATTCCTTCCAGGGGTGGGGTGTGTGGGAGGGTGGGCAGGGACTTCTCTGGGGTCCTGCATGCACAGCTAGGCTCAAGGTTCAGCTTATAGTAACCTTTTCCTCATTTTAATAGTAAAAACAGCCACAACAAGAAAAACACCCCTAGGCGGAGATTTCATATGCTAATGATACATGCAATGGGTGTTACACCATGTTGATCCTGAGCACATGTGCCAACCGCAGGTCTGCCTTTGCATACTTGACCTCACCGGTACTTTTTGATTATGTACGTATAGCTCTCATGAGAGGAATTCCTTTTACAGCACTAGCTGCTGTCTCTCCCATTGAGCAGCCCACTCTGCCTCTCAAAGGGTACTTTTGCTTTGCAACAAACTTCTTCGCTTACTCTTACTTTGGATTTGCTCTCAAATTCTTTCGCGCAGCAAATTCAAGAATCTGAACTGGTCCACCAACAACAAAATAACAAAATTCCCTTATATAACATTTGGAGTCTGCCTTAACTGATTTGAATCAAGATGGAATGCAGTAGGATGAGATGTACTTTTTAAATTTCACACAGAAGAGTGAGGAGTATTACCATGATATCATAAGTTCTAAAATAATGGATGAACTTACAAACAACAATACTGGGGGCTTTACCTATCCCAAAGCATTCCGTATATCAAATTGAAACAATGAAAAGCTTCTCTTCTATTTTAGTTTATCTGTGACATTACTAGGGGTTATACATATCCCAAACCATTCCGTATATCAAATTGAAACAATCAAAAGCTTCTATTTTATTTTAGTTTATGTGTGACATTGGAGCAGTTTGGCACTATGATTTCATCCCTGAAGTCTTACTTTGGAATCATGCTTTGAGAATCCCCTTCTACTGCATTCCCACCTCACCCCCATGAATCAGTAAACTCAGTGAAAATTATCACAAAAAATGCAAAAAACAATAAAAGATTTCTAAATGAAAAGTTTAATACAATATATTTTGTGAACACAATAAAGATAAAGAACTAATAAAATAGAAAAATTCTGGCAAACTTGAACAGTGAGAGAAAGAGGGAGCAGGGAGAAAGCGGGAGAGCACGGGAGGGGCAGCCTCCTACCTTTCCAAAAGAAAAGAATGACTGAAAGGCTGACAGACAAATAGTATGTTTGAAAGGGAGATAATGTGTACCTAATTGGGAAGGATATTCTGTAGGCTCAAAATGATTTTAAAAAATGAGGAATTTAGAGGATTGGAATTATTTCTTAGCTAGTGGATTACAAATTAATTCGTATTTGGTGCCATGACTGGAAGAAAAATAAAGCAAGGGAGGGAGTTTAAAATGAACCAGAATGTTCTCACAGAGTCAGCGGGATGGTGATGGGCTCATTGGATACATGAGGTCCACCCTGCTGAATGACATCAATCCCACTCCATGTGTCCTAATATTCAGCACAGAAGAATGGTCTACATTTGTGGACCAGCGGCGAAGGGAGAGATGAGCCAGGGCAGTGGGCTCAGCAGCAAGAGGAGGCGCAGCACACGGGGCGGGGACAGGTGGAGATGACACAGGTTGGGCGATAGCAAGTGGTGTGGCAGGAGACTCGGCCACAGACTGGACGCACGCAGCAGCAGGGGCGGCAGCAGCTGGATTCACAGCAAGAGGGGCGGCAGCAGCTGGAGATGCTGCAGCTAGGGTGGCAGCAGGTGGGCTGGCAGCACACAGACTGGCAGCACTGGGGCTTGCAGCAGCTGGACACACAGCAGCTGGGGCGGCAGCAGCTGGAGATGCAGCAGCTAGGGTGGCAGCAGGTGGGCTGGCAGCACACAGACTGGCAGCACTGGGGCTTGCAGCAGCTGGACACACAGCAGCTGGGGCGACAGCAGCTGGAGATGCAGCATCTGGGGCGGCAGCAGGTGGGCTGGCAGCACACAGACTGGCAGCACTGGGGTCTGCAGCAGCAGGACACACTGTAGCTGGGGCGGTAGCAGGTGGTCCTGCAGCAGGTGGTCTGACAGCAGCTGGGGCAGCAGCAGGTCTCCTGGCAGAGGTCTTGGCCACAGCCTTGGTCAGAGCACACGGAGCCACAACAGGAGTTGACCATTGGTGTCAGAGGGTGAAGGATCTATTTGGGTTTCCAAGAGAGTAAAGTTCTTGAGTTTGGAAGTTTCCTGGGTCCATAGCCCCTTTATACCCGCCTGAAGGCCCGTTGCCACCACGTCATTATTTCCTTGTTATTATTTACCTACTGAAAAAATTAATCATGTAATTACATCATTGTGTGTTTCTAGTTAAATACTCCAAAACAGAGAAAATAACTCATTTTCTTTTCCTGCTGTGCTCCTGTGTTTCCATTGGAAATGCTTGTCATATTTCTTCCTTGGTGGGGGTCACCTTTGTCCCTGGTCTATGCAGTGTCTTTTACAAAGCACTGGTCACAGGACTCTCTGACATTTTGTTTTTAAATATGACTCTCCCTCCTACCTGTAGATTGCTGTCTGCAAATAATGGGGGACGATTTTTATAATGTGAATGTATCTTTCATTGTCAAAGAACGTCCTGGTCAGGTGAAATGTTGGGAAGGAATTAGAAGGAAGGACTCATTTGTGGAAGGATCTCCCATCTGTAATGAGGATGACTCTGATCCCGTGTGTGCATCTCGGATGGTCGGGCAGATGGTCAGATCCCAACAAGTTCTAAACTCTTTGTCAGATCTTATTCCACAGCCTCCAGCAAAAGTACTTACCCATGACTCACTGCCTTTAAAGGGTAAAAACACATTTTGCTGTATTTCTTACAGTATAGGCATTAAGAGTAGGAAGTTTTGATTTATCTTTTTTTTTTTTTTTTTCTGACGGGGTCTCCCTCTGTCACCAGGCTGGAGTACAGTGGCATGATCTCGGCTCACTGCAACTTCCACCTCCTGGGTTCAAGCAGTTCCTTTTCCTCAGCCTTCCGAGTAGCTGGGACTACAGGTGTGTGCCACCACACCCAGCTTACTTTTGTATTTTTAGTAGAGACAGGGTTTCACCATGTTGGCCAAGATGGTATTGATCTCTTGACCTCATGATCCACCCGCCTTTGCTTCCCAAAGTGTTGGGATTGCAGGCGTGAGCCCCCAACACCCAGCCTGATTAATCTTTGATCATCAAAATTGCGTGATGCATTTTTCATTTACAAAAGCATTTGTTATATATGAAGAATATTTAGAATTATTAAGCCTTCAATAACATGCATCCAAGATGTTCTATTGGGTACTCTGGGTGTAGAACAGATAAACCCTCATCTTTTTCTTGCAGGTACTTGCATAAGACACATGGATAGGAAACAGTTTGGCAGAACTGAAAAGAATTACAATTATTTTCATTAAACAACTAAAATAAAAAATGTATAATATGTGGATAAGTTCCATACACCCTCATGGTATGTATATTACTTGTGAAGTATTGACTATGTAGCAGGCATTGTACCAAATATCTTACATTTGTTTCATTTTCACACTTTAATACAACCTTATGAACTAGTTTATATTCTTATTAGTCTTTTAGGGGAATACTCAAAAGAAGCATTAAAAACTTAAAACAAACAAACAACTTGTCCAAGGTTAAAGAGAAAGTAAGCCTAATATGTCTTAGTGTAGCCAAGAAAGCCGTAAAGAATACAATTTGCTAAGCTTGCTGAAACTGCTTCATCTTCTTGGAATGTTTCATCTTTTTTTGTCCACTCTGCAAACTCCTACTCATGTGTCAAGACCCAGTTAAAATATTTCCTCCTCAATAATATCTTTCCTGCTAAGCTACCCCATTCATGTATCATGATTTCCTGCCTTGTGCTCATAATTTGTTACATTCTCCTGTATCATAGTCATTTACTTCTGTCATTCCACCACGTGCAATGCAAATACCCTGAAGGCATGGGCTATGGCATTTATTCTTGTTACCATGATACTCAGCACAGAGAACACTGGTGGTAAATGTTTGTTGAGTGAAGGAAGGCTTTTGATGACATAGAGGCATGTAAGGTCCTTTAAAAATGTATATATCTTTTGACTTCTGGATAAAAGAGAGGAAAACATTCCAAACAAAGAGATCATAATTTCATTTCAGGAAGACTAAACTAATTTACGTGGTAGGTAACATGTCATCTGATAAATAACATATGTGGAAAGTTGTGGAAGTTAAGATTCAATTTATAGAATGAGACTTGTTTATAGATAACCAGGAATACAGTGTTGAACGTGCATGCCTATATTCACACAGTAAAAAGACAGGAAGGAAGTAAACGCCAGATGGTAGCACTGGTTCTCCTTCACCTCCTGACTCCCTCGTTTTACTCTTGTCGATTGAAATAACTATTATTTCCAGTTTCGTATCAGTCAGCCAAAAATGTTTGTTGATCATCTGTTGTCTTAACTTAAATTCTACCCAATGCAAACCTTGAGAAAAATACCTGGGTGCACATAATTTATTTGGGGGATGATCCCAGGAAGCACAAGTGAGGAAATGGCGAAAGTAAGACAGAAAAGGTAGAAAATCCCAACAGTGTTTGTGTTAATGGTAGGACCCCCACTGTGGGCATCTGGGGATGAACCCCGGGGACAGGCCTGAGGCTGGAGGCACTTGGCCACCATGATTGCACACCTACAAAATCCTGGAGAGTCAGCTGGGTATTAGTATGAATCATGAGATCAGATAAAATATGAACTTATACTAATCTATAGACTTTTTATACACTAGCAATAATTGTCTCTAAAATTTAATGGAGAAAAATCACAGTGGGGCCTGTCGTGGGGTGGGGGGAGGAGGGAGGGATAGCATTAGGAGAAACACCTAATGTAAATGACGAGTTAATGGGTGCAGCACACCAACATGGCACATGTATACATATGTAACAAACCTGCACATTGTGCACATGTACCCTAGGACTTTAAGAATAATTTTAAAAAAGAACAATGTGCTCACAATTCTCAAGAGTAAATAGAAAAATATGTAAATAAATCTGCCAAGCCTATGTGAAGGAAAGTGTTAATATTTCCTGAAGGACATAAAATAACGTTTGAATAAATGTCAGAACAAGAGATGTGCAACGAAAGCCAAGTTTTCAAATAAATACATACATGTGTTATGCATGCATTTAATGAGGATGTATCTCAATTTGTAACATTAGGTATTGAATGGGATTGGCAAAGACCGTGATGGGAAACTTACCTTTGGTTGCATTCTTTTGTATTGTCTAAATGTTTAAAGAGCATATATTTGTGTATAAATGATATAAAAATCCTTAGAAAATAATAAATTTGATTTATATAAAATTCATAATTTTTTCTACAGATTCTGTTAAGTATGTTTTCTGCTATTATGTTTACATTCTTATTTCTTTCAGGAACTAAAATATTAAAAGTACATTTCAGTCAGTCATTTGAGCTCTCAAATTAGCTATCATGAATTTCAAATTGTTTTGGGGGACAGGCTGGGTTCCCCAGGAAGCAGACACTGAGATGGAGAGCAATATGCAGGAGGTTTATTGAAGCATGCTCTTGGGATTAACACTGGGGAAATGAGGGGAGGGGAGGGGA
The DNA here is from genome assembly GCF_000001405.40 of Homo sapiens. Taxonomy (NCBI): domain Eukaryota; kingdom Metazoa; phylum Chordata; class Mammalia; order Primates; family Hominidae; genus Homo; species Homo sapiens. Next base: position 251,244 of record NW_003871091.1, read on the forward strand.
GGGGAGGGGAGGGGAGGGGAAAGTGAAGGGAGAGAAGGGGAAGGGGAAGGGGAGGGGATTAACACTGGGGAGAGGAGGGGAGGGGAAGGGCGGGGAGGGGAGGGGAGGGCAAGGGAAAGGAAGAAAGGGAGGGGAACGGGTGGGGAAGGGAAGGGGAGGGGAAGGGGAGGGGAGGCACAGCACAAGGGGTGGGGGCAGGTGGAGATGACACAGGTTGGATGATAGCAAGTGACGTGGCAGGAGACTCGACCACAGACTGGACGCAGGCAGCAGCAGGGGCAGCAGCAGCTCGATTCACAGCAAGAGGGGCAGCAGCTGCTGGAGATGCAGCAGCTGGGGTGGCAGCAGGTGGGCTGGAAGCACACGGAATGGCAGCACTGGGGTCTGCAGCAGCTGGACACACAGCAGCTGGGGTGGCAGCAGGTCGTCCTGCAGCAGGTGGTCTGACAGCAGCTGGGGCGGCAGCAGGTGGGCTGGCAGCACACGGAATGGCAGCACTGGGGTCTGCAGCAGCTGGACACAGAGCAGCTGTGGGAGCAGGAGGTGGTTCTGCAGCAGGTGGTCTGACAACAGCTGGGGTGACAGCAGTTGGGTGGGCTGGCAGCACACAGACTGGAAGCACTGGGGCTGCATGGCATCTTTGAACTGCACATAGTAAAATGCAAGAGGAAAGAAATGATTTAAAGATGGAATTCATAATTAAAAGGGAAACAGAACATAAAGATGTGGAAAATGTGGAGACTGACCATATAAAGAATGAAAAAGCATGCAAGATTGTGGCCAAGTAATGCTTTGTTACAAGGATTGATATGAATAGAAGGAAGCTAGGTGCTGTTCATCAAATCAGTGGGAGAATGGCTCTGAAGGCATTTCAAAGATCTTTGAAGCTGTCCCTCCCATCACAGGCTCCAAATGAGAGAATCTTAAGGTCAGAAAGGGTTTGGTACTCTCCACATTCTAGCACGGTGCCCCTTTGCTGCTCCAGTTGTGGCTCAAGTGGGTTTAGATGAGACTTGCGCTGCTGCTGCAGAGGCCACAAACTGTGAGCCTTGGTGGTGTTCATGTAGTACTGACTGTAGATACACAGACTGCAGGAGTTGTGGGGCAATGGTGGTCCACCTAGGTTTGAAAGGATGTTTCTGACAGCCTGCCTTAGGGGTGTAGCCACAGCAGAGAGGTCCTCCTAGGGCCATGCTCAGGAAAACGGGGGGTCAGAGCAGCCACTGAGACCCTAGAACTGTAGAACTATCAGCCTGCAATACTAGCCTGAGAGAGCTGCAGCAGAGACTCCAATCAGATAGCTGCTGTATGGGCTGAGCCCAGCAAAGCCATGGGGCAGGGCTATCTGAGGGCATTTGGGGCCTAACACCAAGACCCCAGGCAGCCCTTCCCCATGTCGGGCACATCCAGGAGACAGCACATGGAGTCGAAGTTTATTCTCCAGTCTTAAGATTTAATGCTGTCTTCCCTGTTGGACTCACCTGGGGCCAGTTACCCTTTTTTCTTTCCTGTTGCTGCCTTTTGGAATGGGCCTGTCTATCCTATGCCTCTCCCACCATTGGATTTTGGAACTAGATAACGTCTTTAATAGGTTCACATATGGAGGAGAATTTGCCTCAGGATAAGTCCTGTGTTGAGTCTTATTCATATCAGAGTCACATGAGACTCTTAGATTTACATTTTGACTTTTAAGTTGGTGCTGGAACAAGTTAATACTTTGGGACTATTGGAATAAAATGAATATATTTTGTGTACGAGAAGGACATGGATTTGGGGGACCAAGGGTGGAATGCAATGGTTTGAATGTGTCCCTCAAAGTTCATGTGTTGGAAACTTGATCCTCAATGCCGCAGTGTTGGGAGGTTGGGCCTAACAGGAGATGTTTGGGTCATGGTGACACCACCCTCATGAGTGGATTAATGCTGTTATCACAAAAGAGGGTTCCTTATAAAAGGATGAGTTTGACTCCCTCTTTCTCTGTCTCACCCTCTCTTTTTCCTTCCACAGTGGGAAGACACGGTATTCCTGGTTATCTATAACCAAGTCTCATTCTATAAACAGAATCCTAACTTCCACAACTTTCCACATATGTTATTTATCAGGGGACATGTTACTTACCATAGAAATAAGTGTAGTTTTCCTGAAATGAAACTCTGATCCCCTTGTTTGGAATGTTTTCCTCTCTTTTATCCAGAAGTCAAAAGATATATACACTTTTAAAGGACCTTACATGCTTCTATGTCATCAAAAAGCCTTCATTCACTCAAGAAACATTTATCACCAGTGTTCTCTGTGCTGAGTATCATGGTAACAAAAAGAAACATCATAGCCCATGCATTCAGGGTATTTGCACTGTATATGGGGGAATGAAAGAAGTAAATGTCTATGATACAGTAGAATGTATCAAATTATGAGCACAAGACAGGAAATAATAATAGATGAATGGGGTAGCTTATTAGGAAATATATTATTGAGAAGGAAATATTTTAACTGGGTTTTGACACATGAGTAGGAGTTTGCAGAGTGGACAAAAAAAGATGAAACATTCCAAGAAGATGAAGCAGTCTCAGCAAGCTTAGCAAATTGTATTCTTTATCGCTTTCTTGGCTACACTAAGACATATTAGGCTTACTTTCTCTTTAATCTTGGACAAGTATTTTGTTTGTTTGTTTTAGCTTTTTAATGCTTCTTTTGAGTATTCTGCTAAAAGAGTAATAAGAATGTACCTACTTTTTAAGGTTGTATTAAAGAGTGAAAATGAAAAAGATATTTAGCACAATGTCTGGTACATAGTCAATACTTCACAAGTAATATATATATACACTGAGGGTGTGTGGAAATTATCCACATACTATACATTTTTATTTTAGTTGTTTAATGAACATAATTGTAATTCTTTTCATTTTTGCCAAATTCTGTTTCTTATGCATGTGTCTTATACAAGTACCTGCAGGAAAAAGAGGAGGGTTTATCTGTTCTATACCCAGAGTACCCAATAGAATGTCTTGGATGCATATTATTGAAGGCTTAATAATTCTAAATATTGTTTACATATAACAAATGCTTTTGTCAATGAAAATCCATCATGCAGTTTTGATGATCAAAGGTAAATCAAAACTTCCTACTCCAAATGCCTATGCTGTAAGACATACAGAAAAATGTGTTTTTACTCATTAAAGGCAATGAGTCATGGCTAAGTACTTTCACTTGGAGTGGTGGAATGAGATCTGACACAGAGTTTATAACTTCCTTGAGATCTGACCATCTCCCCAACCATTCAAGAAGCATACACGGAATCAGAGTCATCTTCATTATAGATGGGACATCCTTCTCCCGAATGAGTCCTTCCTTCTAATTCCTTTCCAACATTTCATCTGACCAGGACATTATTTGACAACAAAAGACACATTCACATTATAAAAATTGTCCCCCATGATTTGCAGAGAGCAATCTACAGGTAGGAGGGAGAATCACATTTAGAAATAAAGTGTCAGAGTCATGTGACCAGTGCTTTGTAAAAGACACTGCAGAGACCAGGGACAAAGGTGACCCCCACTAAGGAAGAAATATGACAAGTGTTTCCAATAGAAACACAGGAGCACAGCAGGAAAAGGAAATGGGTTATTTTCTCTCTTTTGGAGTATTTAAGTAGAAGCACACAATTATGTAATTACATGATTAAGTTTTCCACGAGGTAAATAATAAGGAAATAATGACGTGGTGGCAATGGGCCTTCAGCAGGGTATAAAGGAGGCTATGGACCCAGAAGACTTCCAAACCCAAGAACTTCACTCTCTTGAAAACCCACCCAGATCCTCCCCGTTCTGACACCATGGTCAGCTCCTGTTGTGGCTCCGTGTGCTCTGACCAGGGCTGCGGCCAAGACCTCTGTCAGGAGACCTGCTGCCGCCCCAGCTGCTGTGAGACCACCTGCTGCAGGACCACCTGCTGCCGCCCCAGCTGTTGTGTATCCAGCTGCTGCAGGCCCCAGTGCTGCCAGTCTGTGTGCTGCCAACCCACTTGTTCCCGCCCCAGCTGCTGTCAGACCACCTGTTGCAGGACCACCTGCTACCGCCCCAGCTGTTGTGTGTCCAGCTGCTGCAGGCCCCAGTGCTGCCAGCCTGTGTGCTGCCAACCCACCTGCTGTCGCCCCAGCTGCTGTGAGACGACCTGCTGCCACCCTAGGTGCTGCATCTCCAGCTGCTGTCGCCCCAGCTGCTGTGTGTCCAGCTGCTGCAAGCCCCAGTGCTGCCAGTCTGTGTGCTGCCAGCCCAACTGCTGCCGCCCCAGCTGCAGCATCTCCAGCTGCTGCCGCCCCTCTTGCTGTGAATCCAGCTGCTGCCGCCCCTGCTGCTGCGTGCGTCCAGTCTGTGGCCGAGTCTCCTGCCACACCACTTGCTATCGCCCAACCTGTGTCATCTCCAGCTGCCCCCGCCCCTTGTGCTGTGCCTCCTCTTGCTGCTGAGCCCACTGCCCTGGCTTATCTCCCCCTTCACCACTGGCCCACAGATGTAGACCCTTCTACTGTGCTGACCATTAGGATACAGGAAGTGGGGTTGATGTCATTCAATAGAATGGAACTCATGTTTCCAATGAGCCCATCACCATTTCACTGACTCTTTGAGAACATTCTGATTCATTTTAAACTCCCTCCCTTGCTTTCTTTTTCTTCCGGTGGTGGCACCAAATGTGAATTAATTTGTAATCCACTAGCTAGAAATTATTCCAATCCTCTAATTTCCTCATTTTCTTTATCACTTTGAGGTACAGATCTTCTTCTCAGTGAGGCAGACATTATCTGCAGGACCAGTTTTGTCACTGAGGTTGCACCCTCAGATCCAGCCGCCCAGTTATATTCTGTGTTTCTCCTAGTGTGAATTTCTTATGCTTTGTTGCATCTCTGCTTTTTAATAAAATTTCTGTACATAAGAATTCATTGGTATCATTCTCTATTGCTTTCATAATTATTTTACTGATTCCCTGACAATTATATTTTACACAAAGATGCAGGAAAAGCAACCCGTGTTGAAATCACTTTGAAGATACATGCTATATCGAATATAGATAATTTACGGTATTGGAATAGAAGTGCTGTGTGTATATGTGTGTGTATGTGTGTGTGTGTGTGTGCACATGTGTCTTAATATCCTAAATTAAGACAGTTTTAATTCATACCTTAGCTCTTGAAACACATTTTATCTTTAACACATTATATCTCATAATACTATCGTCCCTGTTTTGACAAAAAAGATAAAACCAAATTTCTGAAAATTAGACACCAATGAAAGAAGGGAAATCTTCTATAAAGAATTTCATGTACTGAATTCATTTTACTCAATAACAACATTTTGGAATTTATAATCAAAAAGTGGGCTTTATTTCCCAGTGAGTTCTGCTGAGACAAAAAAGCATATTGAGCTGTAGTTCATCTGGATAGCATGGTATATTGCTGACTGTGGTCTCTACGGGTTTACATTATAATTTAAACAACTCCACACTTAACATTTTAATATATATAAACCCAGAAAGGATGAAAATTTCAAGGCTCGCTTTTCTTTTTAAGAATTATTTTATTGGAATTAGTTCAGTCTTGAGTAGGTCGCAGCTGGGGTGCATATCCTAATTAGAATTTCCAAGAGAGGTGCCTTCATTTGAATCTGAAAGAATATGGTAAGTGACTATAACTTGGCATTCTAGTAGGAGCACCTGCTCTTGATGTTTTTACTTTTATTTGACTATTATCAGCTCTGAAATGGCCTTAAGCTATTGAGCCAATCAAGTTTAAGATGATTTGTTCAGATATGTTCAAATATGAAAAATAAGCTTCATATTTTTTCAGATGCCTTAAGAAAAATGTTGTCCAGATCTCAGTCATAGAGTTATGATGCCTTCTTAAACATGAGGCAGGATAAATAAGGTTAGGAGGCTGTGAAAGTAAAATAAATATTGGGGTCCCCAAATCACTAAGCTAAAGGGAAAAGGCAAACTCGGAACTGCTTAGGACAAACTTGCCTCTCATTCTATTCAAAGTCACCCCTCTGCTCACTGAGATAAATGCATATCTGATTGCCTCCTTGGGAAAGGCTAATCAGAAACTCAAAAGAAGGCAACCATTTGTCTCTTATATACCTATGATCTGGAAGCCCCCTCCCAGCTTCGAGTTGTCCCGCCTTTGCTTCGAGTTGTCTTGCCTTTTCTGGACCAAATCCGTGTTCATCTTACATATGTTGATTGATATCTCATGTCTCCCTAAAATGTATAAAACAAAAGTGTTATCTGACCACCTTACACACATGTCATCAGGACTTCCTGAGGCTGTGTCACCGGAGCATCCTCAACCTTAGCAAAATAAACTTTCTCAATTAACTGAGACCTGTCTCAGATTTTCTGGGTTAACATTTTGGTAACTGTGAAAGGATTCTGAGTGGAGATGCCCTTGACCTTTGACGAATATCCTGTTGGTGCCTGGTAATAGCATGAGCTAACTTTATGGCTCAAATCAATAGGACAATTTGCTGAGGTCTGGGAGCACCCTCCCCAAAGAATCCCTGATCTCCCCAAATTTGGTGAAGAACTAAAGTTCATTTTGCTGTACAACTGCCCCACCTATTTTTGTTTTTGGAGTTTTACTTGCTTACTTGCCTTCCTTATAAGGAAGGCAAGATTTACTTTTACTTCCTTATAAGGAAGGCAAGATTTACTTTTACTTCCTTTACAAGGAAGGCAAGATTTCCTGCTTCCATGATGATGAAAGGCATGTAGAGTTTGAGCTCACTCCCAGCAGGGAAGACCAGTTTGAGTTTTTTTCCTGCTTCTAGGGTGGTAGAAAGCAGCCTTCAGCCTGAGACCCATCCCTAGGTAAGTAGCTGAACTGGGGCTTTGTCTGGGCTAAAGTTTAACAACCAGCTAGCTGCTCTTAATTTCTCCTTATCATTAGAGTGCTTGGTAATCCTATGGTTGGAGATTTTGTTGTTTGTTTTGGTCTTTCTCCCATCAGACTTGACCAACTCTACCTGACTTGGTCAAATCCAAGTGAGAATTCAAAATTACGGGTAACAAAACCTCTCTAATTTGGCTAAAATTCATTGCAGCTGCAAAAGAAGAAAACAAACAAAAAGAACCAAAAACCCATGCACTTGGTTTCTGTGTTTGCTTCCTGTCTTAAAACACGAATGTTCTTTCGTTTACTTTTCTTGCACCATATACCTCCTCCCCCTTTGCCATATGCAGTACCAAAAAGTCTAGAGAAGGCTTCTAATGACTTGAACCCCCTTAAAGAATTCAGAACAAAGGTTGCCACTCACCCCTTTTGGGGTGTTTTGTTTTCTTTGTGGAGTTTCAAGAGTCATGGGTAGATTCTTCTTAACTCTAAACCTCTATTTTCCTGTATTGCATGACCTGACCTCTTTGGCTTTGACCTTGTTGTGTATAGTGGTAGATGAGAGCTACAAAGTTAAGGGGTGGCTGAGCAAGGTTTACAAAAAGTGGTCTTGGCTGTTGTTTTGTTTTCCTTCTAGGAATTTGTCATTTAAAGATCCTAATTCTAGTTCACAAATGCATTCTAAAGGATCTTCTCTGTTGCTTTTTCTCCCCAAATTAAGCTCAATTCAGCTTGTCTGTGTGCATTTGCATGAGGAACTGAACTGTTGTTTTCAGTGGTGACCCACTGTGGAGTCCTGCCCACAAATGGCACATATTGATCCACCACAGAAAACCTCTAAGCCTCAGCTCAGTTCCTCTTTTTAAGAAGAAAACTGGGAAACAAATAATCTAAGAATGAGGAGAAAGCAAAGAGAATGATTCCCTTTCAAGCACTCCATAGGTTTTATGGCACCTGTACTTGCCAGAGTTTAAGTAAAATGGAAGTAATATGGTCTTTGTGCATATTTACATTAAGAAAGAAAGGGCCCATGTAAATTAGTTCAACCATTGTGGAAGACAGTATGGTGATTCCTCAAGGATCTAGAATCAGAAATACCATTTGATCCAGCAATCCCATTACTTGTTATATACCCAAAGGAATACAAATCATTCTACTATAAAGACACAGGCACATGTATGTTTATTGCAGCACTATTTACAAGAGCAAAGACATGGAACTAACCCAAACGCCCATCAATTATAGACTTGATAAAGAAAATGTGGTACATATACACCATGGAATACGATGCAGCCATAAAACGGAGTGAGATCATGTCCTTTGTAGGGACATGGATGAAGCTGGAAACCATCATCCTCAGCAAACTAACACAGAAACAGAATACCAAATACAACATGTTCTCACTCATATATGGGAGTTGAACTTTGAGAACACATGGACACAGAGAGGAGAGCAACACATATCAGGGGCTGTTGGGGGGTGGGGAATGAGAGGAGGGAATTTAGAGGATGGGTCAATAGGTGCAGCAAACCACCAAGGCACACATATACCTATGTAACAAACCTGCACGTTCTCCTGCATGTGTATTTCATTTTTTTTAGAAGAGAAAGAAAAGAAGGAAAGAAAGCAAGCAAGCAAGAAAGCAAGCAAGCAAGAAAGAAAGAAAGCAAGCAAGAAAGAAAGAAAGAAAAGAAAGAAAGAAAGAAAGAAAGAAAGAAAGAAAGAAAGAAAGAAAGAAAGAAAAGAAAAAGAAAGAAAAGAAGAGCCTTAAGGTCAACCTACAAACTACAGAGTTCCTAAGTTCTCTTTTTTCTCTATTTTCTTTTCTGCCTGCTTTAAATCTGCTGTTATTTTTCTATTAAGATCAAAACCACTGTTTGGATACAACAGGCTTTTTGTTTGCAACCTGGTGAATTTGTATTTGTCTCATGGCTAAAGTTCTGAAGTAAAAGCTATAGGATTTCTGTGTGTGTGTTTGTGTGTGTGTGTGTGTGTGTGTGTGTATCTATTTAAAAGGCCTTTATAATTTTTATAATTTTATGTTTAATTGGCAATTAAATCCATTTTGACTTCCCTCTAGCACCACCAGACTTTTTCTCTCTGTACCTTATGATATAATTTTGCTATTTGATTTTTGCCTGAGTTGTTTCCTTTAACATGCAAACTTAAGGCTATTTAGCTGACAACTCCCTAGGGGAGTAAAACAGGTTATTAAGAATTTGAAAGCCTAAGATAGGGGAAAAAAGCTCCTTAAGTATCTATACGATGTACTTCTATCAGCATGCCTACTATGTCTATATATTTATGTGATGTGTACACAATTTCTCGCTACTGAAAATATATAAAAGAGTTCTAATTAATTGGCTTAAGATAAAAAGCACTTGAATCTAATACTTTATCAGGAAAAAAGAAAAGACTAGTTGAATGCTTTCTGAAGTTTATGTAACAAGTAAAATCTTTAATAAATAAGCTAGCTTTAAAATTATTGGTAAAGTAATATTAGACATGTCTTAAAAATTGCCAGCATGCATTTTTGTTTGCATTTATTAATCAAGCAATTTCATGCTTATCCCTGTCAAATACCATAAGGTGTCAAAATTTGCCATGGAGTTACAAAACTGTAATAGAATGATCTTTGCTTGTATAATCTTTAATAAATAAGACATTGATATTGGTTTAATAAAAATAGTCACATCTTGAATTTAGTGAGATTACTGTAACTTCTAATTTTGTGGTTTTGGTGGTCTAGTCCACAGGCAGTAAGATTTAGTTTGAGAATGAACTGTTATAATCTTTGTTTCAAAGGTAAACTATAAACTATGTTCCTCTCAACGTCTGTTCAGCCTGTGCCCAGGATTGAACAAGAACAGTTTGGAGGTTAGAAGCAAGATGGAGTCAATTAGGTCAGATCTTTTTCACTGTCTCAGTTATAATTTTGCAATGGCAGTTCCATAACTTTAAATGATGACTATTGCAGTTTTCATAAATAATCTAGGTAAACAATTCCTTTTTAAAAAGGTGAACAATTGTCATCTAATTCAATGCTTATTTAAAGATTATGTATAAGACAAGTTAAAAGGAACCAGGAAATCAGAGAGATGTAAAGAAAGGTATAAAAATAAAGAGGATAAAGAGGGTTCTTTTTGGTAAGGAAGCTTAAAGAGAAATAATTTCATATGAGAAAAGATCTTGTATGGTAAATTTAGACCTAAAATAAAATGATTGTTTAAGAAAGATGGATGTTCAAAACAAACCAGAAAGTCCAAGCATATCATGAACAGTCTGTAAAAGTCATAATAAGAGGATTAAAAAAAAAACCAACAAACTTTTATATGGTCAAGTTGTCTGTAATTAAAAGGAAATTATAATAGTCTTCCTGAAGATTGGGCTTCATGTAAAAAAAAAAAAGCACTGATAAACAAAATAGTTAGAGCGATGAAATTTTCTTAAGGGATTGATTTACTCTTATTAAATTATAAGAGATTTTAATTTTTTTAACCCAAAGTTCAACTGTTTACTCGCTGTTTTCTCTCCCCTTCAACTCGTTTGCAGCTCATATAAGTTATTTTCCTTAAATTCTATTTGTTATGGTCTGATGCTAACAATGTTTTCTAAAAGTCTAAAGAAAATGTTTTCTTCCAAAGTAATATTCTGTGCAGTGTAGAAGGTCTTTTCTTTTGCCTTTGGGTAATTGACCTAACAGATTTTATGGCTTATTGAAACAATGTTATGCTGTTATTATTAATTTTTGATTTGCTCAGGAAAAAGTATCTGAGATAATTTTTTAAAATTAAGGTTATTACATCCATGTATATTTCTGTAGGTGCTTTGAAAGTACCTGTGACATTAAGTTACAGGCCTTTGACTCCTGGGTCTAACAAGGACACCAAGGTCTGCTAAATCTTAAGCACTGACAGCAATTAAAACCTCATCTTCAGGCCTGGTAGAAGATGCCAATCAAAATAAACTGCATTCCTGAGACATAAGGCCAGAAGTAAAAGCTATTCAACTCCTCAAGGCTCAGGAACTACCACAGAAGAGGTAGGCATGTGAGATTGTAAGGGCTGATTTTGAGAGACAAAATAAGTTCAGTTTCTCTGCAAGTTAATAATTGATGTCAAAGGCACACTGATGCAATACCAGCATACGGGCCCCTGCATCAGATTAAAAAGGTTTTCTTGAAGTGTTAACCGACCCCTTAATAAAGGTTATAAAGGTTAAAAAAGGCTTATGGAAGCTGTATCTTATGGTCAAGATTAAAATTTTAAAGATTGATAATAAAATTTCAAAAAACAAATTTAATTGGCTTTATGCTGTTTTATTTGGGCTTAATGTTTGAAAAATTGACTTATTTTATGATGACCTATCAAGTATTTTAAACTTTTGATATTTGGCAAAGTTTCCAGAATCAAATTACAAGTTGTGTATTTTTCTGACCTAATTAATCCTCTAAGATATTAGTTTCCCTAAAGTCCAAAAATGAAATAAATGACTTATTTGGTATAAAAATTATACAGGAAGCATTGTCAAATATAAAATGGTGTTTGGTTTTCTTTGGGCTGTATTTGTATAAAAATGTTATTGGTATGTGCACCAAAATTATGGGAAACTCCTATAATTCTGATATGACATGGTGTACAATATCACTAATAATTATAATTGTTATATAAAATTATCGTGTGCCACAGTGGTAACAAATTTTCTTGTCAATTGTGTCTTTGATTATGGCTGACCTAAAACTTTTTGTCACCCATGGACAATTGTTTTGTTTTAGTCCTTTTTAGAAGATGGTTTTATAATCAGCTATAAAACTCTAACACGTGTTCTTGAAGGCAAGTTTCTAATAACTTTGGAGACTGTGACATCAGAATGGAGGAAAAGCTTTCAGAACTCATGGAGACCTGAAATGTTCATGAATAGCAAGCAGAACAGGAATTAACTGCATGAACTGAACTAATAGAAGAGCAACGTAATCTTTTTGACTTTTTGCTTAAAATGTTGCTGCTCCTTGTTTTCCTTTTTTTAGTCAAGGAAACTTTTATTTGAGCTGTTGTCAGCTTTTAACAAGTTAGTATACTCCTGTGAAAAATATTTGGAGCATATTTGTTTCTCTCTACCTGATTTTCCCCAGAATTGGAAACTATCTGTGAGTATTCTTAACTTATGGCAATACAGTTATTTGCATAAGTGCAATAATAATCTGTTTTCATGTGTAACAAGACACAATTGGAGAAATTGGTCATTTTACCAAGGCTTTGACTGGAATGGTGTGCTCTCCTTTAAGGAATCAAATTTGACTTATGGAGCCAATAAAAGCCCCTTGGGAGAACTGGCCTCATACCTTATCTACACAGTCCCTGTACAGGGTTCCTGACCTGTGGTAAGTAAAGCATGTCACTTTCTAACAGTTCCAGGAGCCCCAAGTTTATCTTGGAACCTCAAGAGCAGAGGAATTCATGCAACTCATAGGTATTTGATGGTACAAATCCATGGCTAGGCTAAGCTTTCCAAAAGTCTTATCCGAAATTCCTTCTATGGAACAAAGTTCTGATAGAGACAGGGGGCTGAGAAATTCTAGGCAGAAAAGGGTAGGTCTCTGACAAAACCCCACCTTCAAGCTGAAAAGCCTTAAACCACGGCCCAAAGTGAGAACTTATATCCCTGTTTTCCTGCTTGAAAGTTGCCTTTTTCTAAACCACTCATGGCTCCATCCTGTCCATCCTATGCCTGTGAAGATGCCAGACTCAGCTGGCAGAGGCAAGAAGCAGCTGGACATTGGGAACTACAGCTGGACGTCAGAGAGAAGCAGCTTGATTCAGAGGGACAGCTTGATGGTGTAATCTTGGAGAAGAATCCAGCTGGATACAGCCTAACTTTGAGGAAGATTACCTACCCACCCCATCCTTTTTCAGCTCCCCTTTCTGCTAAGAGCCACTTTCATCAGCAACAAAATCCCCCACATTTACCATCCTTTGATTGGTTCATGTGACCTCACTTTTCCTGGACACAAGACAAGAGCTTGGGAGCCAGGAGAGCAGATACAAAAGACTGTCACACTGGCCCTCTGCCCTTGCTGGTGGAGGGCAGCTGCCTCACACAAAAAGGCAGAGGCCTCACTGAGCTGTTGACACTTAAGCCATCCATGGAAGGCAGAGTTAAAAGAACACTGTAACATGCCCTCTGGGGCTATGGGGGTCGCAGGCACCCCCACCTAGATGCTGCTGTGGGGCCCACACAGAGTTTGCTCCTGCCGGTGGCCAAAAGCACTCACTTTGGCTCCTGCACTGATTCACCTGCATGCTTCCTCCCACAAGCAGGGGACTGCAGCAGGTCCCAGTGAGTGAAGTTTGATCCTACCGTGCTGCAGTGCCGATTCCAGCACAGTGCACTCCAGTTCCTGCCTCATTTGCTTGCATGCTCGCTCCTGCAAGGAGTTGAGAGTGGCAGGCTGAATAAACGAGGCACCCGTCACAAGTCCCACAAAGGGGTCAGGGAAACATCCTGCTTCAGTTCCATCAAAGGCAATTTAAAAGCTTATGCAAAAAAAAAGTATTACTATGGCTGCGCTGTATACAAATAATCAGGTCAAGTATAATAAAGAAAATCAGCCCTGCCATGATTTGTCTTTAGTAAAAATGGGAAATGGGAGAGAGAAGAATTATGTTTCAAAAAATGATAATACACCTGTTGTTAGATTCTAGTCTTGCCTAATGTTTTCACATTTTTATTATTTTCTACAGTTTCGACTGAATTCTAATTTTTCTTGGCTACAGGTCTTCAAAAGATTGTTTTCAGTTTTTTTTTCTTCTTCTTTCCCCCATTTTTCCTAATTTGGAGTCACTGAAAACTCATCTGTGCTTTTGTAAAAGCCCTGCGAACTGGAGCTAGAGAATTTAAACTTCAGAAGAAAATACCAGCAACCTGTTTACATACATAAGCCACTTTCATACCTGCCTACTGATGTATGGACTTCAGAGTAATGTGGCCCATATTGATTTTCCAGGATTGTTCTTTTGTTTATTTTTGTTTTTCTCCCTTCCTCCCCCTATTTTCTCTTCATAGGACATGAAACTTCACAACCTGCTAAAAATGAACTTTCCTAATAACTCAGGAATTATCTTTCTAGGAATAAACAATCCTAGCCATGAGATATCAGATGAAACTTGAGACCAAAGACTGACTTTCTTCAAAAAGGCTTTCTCAAAAAGATTTTTAAGAAAAGGGGGGAAATTTGAAAGGAAAATAAACCTTGGGGCCCTGAAATCACTAAGGTAAAGGGGAAAGTCAAGCTGGGAACTGCTTAGGGCAAACCTGCCTCCCATTCTATTCACAGTCACCCCTCTGCTCACTGAGTTAAATGCATATCTGATTGCCTCCTTTGGAAAGGCTAATCAGAAACTCTAAAGAAAGCAACCATTTGTCTCTTATCTACCTATGACCTGGAAGCCCCTCCCCGCTTAGACTTGTCCCGCCTTTTCCGGACGGAACCACTGTTCATCTTACATATGTTGATTGATGTCTCATGTCTCCCTAAAATGTATAAAACCAAGCTGTGCTCTGACCACTTTGGGCACATGTCTTCAGAACCTCCTGAGGCTGTGTCACAGGTGTACATCCCCAACCTTGGCAAAATAAACTTTCTAAATAAACTGAGACCTGTCTCCGATTTTGGGGGTTCACAAGGCCATACTGACTTGTCCCCTGTGTGAAGCCCAGCAGGATCCTTTCACAGCAAGCTCTTTTCACTTGAACCTTTGTGCATCAGTGCCTAACTCTTTCACAAGATAAGGGGTCCTACAGAATCGAAGCAGACCCACCAGAGGGTTACAAGTTCCTGATACCTAGTACAACCTGGGAAAGAGAGCAAAAGCCCTTTATTCCTGATGCAGCTTCCCCAATCTCTAGCCAATTTGCACCAAAAGCCCAAGAAACTCCTAACTACAAATTCCTTCCTGGGGTGGGGTGTTTGGGAGGGTGGGCAGGGACTTCTCTGGGGTCCTGCATGCACAGCTAGGATCAAGGTTCAGCTTATAGTAACCATTTCCTCATTTTAATAGTAAAAACAACCACAACAAGAAAAACACCCCAAGGCGGAGATTTCATATGCTAATGATACATGCGATGGGTGTTAGACCACGTGGATCCTGAGCACATGTGCCAACCGCAGGTCTGCCTTTGCATACTTGACCTCACCAGTATTTTATGATTATGTACGTATAGCTCCCATAAAAGGAATTCCTCTTACAGCACTAGCTGCTGTCTCTCCCACTGAGCACCCCACTCTGCCTCTCAAAGAGTACTTTTGCTTTGCAACAAATTTCTTCGCTTACTCTTACTTTGGATTTGCTCTCAAATTCTTTTGCACAGCAAATTCAAGAACCTGAACTGGTCCACCGACAACAAAATAACAAAATTCCCTTATATAACATTTGGAGTCTGCCTTAACTGATTTGAATCAAGATGGAATGCAGTAGGATGAGATGTGCCTTTTAAATTTGACACAGAAGAGTGAGGAGTATTACCATGATATCATAAGTTCTAAAATCATGGATGAACTTACAAACAACAATACTGGGGCTTTACCTATCCCAAAGCATTCCATATATCAAATTGAAACAATCAAAAGCTTCTATTTTATTTTAGTTTATGCGTGACATTGGAGCAGTTTGGCACTATGAGTTCATCCTTGAAGTCTTACTTTGGAATCATGCTTTGAGAATCCCCTTCTACTGCATTCCCACCTCACCCCCATGAATCAGTAAACTCAGTGAAAATTATCACAAAAAAATGCAAAAAACAATAAAAGATTTCTAAATGAAAAGTTTAATACAATATATTTTGTGAACACAATAAAGATAAAGAACCAATAAAATAGAAAAATTCTGGCAAACTTGAACAAACAGAGACAAAGAGAGAACAGGGAGAAAGCAGGAGAGCATGGGAGGGGCAGCCTCCTACCTTTCCAAGAGAAAAGAATGACTGAAAGGCTGACAGACAAATAATATGTTTGAAATGGAGATAATGTGTACCTCACTGGGAAGGATATTCTGTAGGCTCAAAACGATTTAAAAAATGAGGAATTTAGAGGATTGGAATAATTTCTTAGCTAGTGGATTACAAATTATTTCATATTTGGTGCCATGACTGGAAGAGAAAGAAAGCAAGGGAGGGAGTTTAAAATGAACCAGAATGTTCTCACAGAGTCAGTGGGATGGTGATGGGCTCATTGGAAACATGAAGTCCACCCTGCTGAATGACATCAATCCCACTCCATGTGTCCTAATAGTCAGCACAGAAGAATGGTCTACAACTGTGGGCCTGCAGTGAAGGGAGAGATGAGCCAGGGCAGTGGGCTCAGCAGCAAGAGGAGGCACAGCACAAGGGGCGGGGGCAGCTGGAGATGACACAGGTTGGGCGATAGCAAGTGGTGTGGCAGGAGACTCCGCCACAGACTGGACGCAGGCAGCAGCAGGGGCGGCAGCAGCTGGATTCACAGCAAGAGGGGCGGCAGCAGCTGGAGATGCTGCAGCTGGGGTGGCAGCAGGTGGGCTGGCAGCACACAGACTGGCAGCACTGGGGTCTGCAGCAGCTGGACACACAGCAGCTGGGGCGACAGCAGCTGGAGATGCAGCATCTGGGGCGGCAGCAAGTGGGCTGGCAGCACATAGACTGGCAGCACTGGGGCTTGCAGCAGCTGGACACACAGCAGCTGGGGCGACAGCAGCTGGAGATGCAGCATCTGGGGCGGCAGCAGGTGGGCTGGCAGCACACAGACTGGCAGCACTGGGGCCTGCAGCAGCTGGACACACAGCAGCTGGGGCGACAGTAGGTGGTCCTGCAGCAGGTGGTCTCACAGCAGCTGGGGCGGCAGCAGGTCTCCTGGCAGAGGTCTTGGCCACAGCCTTGGTGAGAGCACACGGAGCCACAACAGGAGTTTACCATGGTGTCAGAGGGTGAAGGATCTAGTTGGGTTTCTAGGAGAGTGAAGTTCTTGTGTTTGGAAGTCTCCTGGGCCTGTAGTCCCTTTATACCCTCCTGAAGGCCCATTGCCACCACATCATTATTTCCTTGTTATTATTTACCTACTGGAAAAATTAATCATGTAATTACATCATTGTGTTTCCAGTTAAATACTCCAAAACAGAGAAAATAACCCATTTCCTTTTCCTGCTGTGCTCCTGTGTTTCCATTGGAAATGCATGTCATATTTCTTCATTAGTGGGGAGTCACCTTTGTCCCTGGTCTATGCAGTGTCTTTTACAAAGCACTGGTCACAGGACTCTCTGACATTTTGTTTTTAAATGTGACTCTCCCTCCTACCTGCAGATTGCTGTCTGCAAATCATGGGGGATGATTTTTATAATGTGAATGTATCTTTTGTTGTCAAAGAATGTCCTGGTCAGGTGAAATGTTGGGAAGGAATTAGAAGGAAGCACTCATTTGGGGAAGGATGTCCCATCTGTAATGAGGATGACTCTGATCCCATGTGTGCATCTCGGATGGTCGGGCAGATGGTCAGATCCCAAGAAGTTCTAAACTCTGTCAGATCTTATTCCACAGCCTCCAGCGAAAGTACTTACCCATGACTCACTGCCTTTAAAGGGTAAAAACACATTTTGCTGTATGTCTTACAGTATATGCATTATGAGTAGGAAGTTTTGATTTATCTTTTTTTTTTTTTTTTGACAGATTCTCAATCTGTCGCCAGGCTGGAGTACAGTGGCATGATCTCTGCTCACTGCAACCTCCACCTCCTGGGTTCAAACGATTCTTTTGCCTCAGCCTCCCGAGTAAGGTGGTTTGCGCCATCACACCCAGCTTACTTTTGTATTTTTAGTAGAGACAGGGTTTCATCATGTTGGCCAAGATGGTCTCGATCTCTTGACCCCGTGATCCACCTGCCTTGGCTTCCCAAAGTGTTGGGATTGCAGGCATGAGCCCCCAACACCCAGCCTGATTAATCTTTGATCATCAAAATTGCATGATGGATTTTTCATTTACAAAAGCAT
Organism: Homo sapiens; assembly: GCF_000001405.40. Classification (NCBI taxonomy): domain Eukaryota; kingdom Metazoa; phylum Chordata; class Mammalia; order Primates; family Hominidae; genus Homo; species Homo sapiens. The sequence goes on from NW_003871091.1 coordinate 269,133, forward strand.
TTGTTATATATAAAGAATATTTAGAATTATTAAGCCTTCAATAACATGCATCCAAGATGTTCTATTGGGTACTCTGGGTGTAGAACAGATAAACCCTCAACTTTTTCTTGCAGGTACTTGCATAAGACACATGGATAGGAAACAGTTTGGCAGAAATGAAAAGAATTACAATTATTTTCATTAAACAACTAAAATAAAAAATGTATAATATGTGGATAAGTTCCATACACCCTCATGGTATGTATATTACTTGTGAAGTATTGACTATGTAGCAGGCATTGTACCAAATATCTTACATTTGTTTCATTTTCACGCTTTAATAGAACCTTATGAACTAGTTTATATTCTTATTAGTCTTTTAGGGGAATACTCAAAAGAAGCATTAAAAACTTAAAACAAACAAACAAACAACTTGTCCAAGGTTAAAGAGAAAGTAAGCCTAATATGTCTTAGTGTAGCCAAGAAAGCCGTAAAGAATACAATTTGCTAAGCTTGCTGAAACTGCTTCATCTTCTTGGAATGTTTCATCTTTTTTTGTCCACTCTGCAAACTCCTACTCATGTGTCAAGACCCAGTTAAAATATTTCCTCCTCAATAATATCTTTCCTGCTAAGCTACCCCATTCATGTATCATGATTTCCTGCCTTGTGCTCATAATTTATACATTCTCCTGTATCATAGTCATTTACTTCTGTCTTTCCACCACGTGCAATGCAAATACCCTGAAGGCTTGCGCTATGGCATTTATTCTCGTTACCATGATACTCAGCACAGAGAACACTGGTGGTAAATGTTTGTTGAGTGAATGAAGGTTTTTTTGATGACATAGAGGCATGTAAGGTCCTTTAAAAAATGTATATATCTTTTGACTTCTGGATAAAAGGGAGGAAAACATCCCAAACAAAGAAATCATAATTTCATTTCAGGAAGACTAAACTCATTTGTGTGATAGGTAACATGTCACCTGATAAATAACATACGTGGAAACTGCGGAAGTCAAGATTCAATTTATAGAATGAGACTTGTTTATAGATAACCAAGAATACAGTGTTGAACGTGCATGCCTATATTCACACAGTAAAAAGACAGGAAGGAAGTAAACGCCAGATGGTAGCACTGGTTCTCCTTCACCTCCTGACTTCCTCGTTTTACTCTTGTTGATTGAAATAACTATTATTTCCTGTTTCGTATCAGTCAGCCAAAAATGTTTGCTGATAATCTGTTGTCTTAGCTTAAATTCTACCCAATGCAAACCTTGAGAAAAAGACCTGAGTGCACATAATTTATTTGGGGGATGATCCCAGGAAGCACAAGTGAGGAAACGGTGAAAGTAAGACAGGAAAGGTAGAAAATCCCAACAGTGTTTGTGTTAATGGTAAGGCCCCCACTGTGGGCAGCTGGGGACGAACCCCAGGGACAAGCCTGAGGCTGGAGGCACTTGGCCACCATGATTGCACACCTGTAAAATCCTGTAGAGTCAGCTGGGTATTAGTGTGAATCGCGAGATCAGATAAAATATGAACTTATACTAATCCATAGACTTTTTATACACTAGCAATAATTCTCTCTAAAATTTAATGGAGAAAAATCACACACTGGGGCCTGTCGTGGGGTGGGGGGAGGGAGGAGGGATAGCATTAGGAGAAATACCTAATGTAAATGACGAGTTAATGGGTGCAGCACACCAACATGGCACATGTATACATATGTAACAAACCTGCACGTTGTGCACATGTACCCTAGAACTTAAAGTATAATAAAAAAAAAAAGAAGCATGTACTCACAGTTCTCAAGAGTAAATAGAAAAATATGTAAATAAATCTGCCAAGCCTTTGTGAAGGAAAATGTTAACATTTCCGGAAGGACATAAAATAATGTTTGAATAAATGTCAGAACAAGAGATGTGCAACGAAAGCCAAGTTTTCAAATAAATACATACATGTTTTATGCATGCATTTAATGAGGATGTATCTCAATTTGCAACATTAGGTATTGAATGGGATTGGCAAAGATCATGATGGGAAACTTACTTTTGTTCACATTGTCACATTCTTTTGTATTGTCTAAATGTTTAAAGAGCATATATTTGTGTATAAATGATCTAAACATCCTTAGAAAATAATAAATGTGATTTATATAAAATTCATAATTTTTCTACATATTCTGTTAAATATATTTTCTGCTATTATGTTTACATTCTTATTTCTTTCAGGAACTAAAATATTAAAAGTACATTTCAGTCAGTCATTTGAGCTCTCAAATTAGCTATCATGAATTTCAAATTGTTTTGGGGGACAGGCTGGGTTCCCCAGGAAGCAGTCACTGAGATGGAGAGCAATATGCAGGAGGTTTATTGAAGCATGCTCTTGGGATTAACACTGGGGAGGGCAGGGGAGGGGAAAGGGAGGGGAGGGGAAAGGGAAAGGGAAGGGGAAGGGGAGGGAAAGGGAAGGGAAGGGAAGGGAAGGGAAGGGAAGGGAAGGGAAGGGAAAGGAAGGGAAAGTGAGAGAAAGATCAAGTTTGACACTGGGATAAATCAAACTGCAGGGCAATCTCCGTGGAAGTCTCAGATGAACCTATAGGGAGTTCTGGAGATGAGATGACCCATTAGAGGCATCCCTAGTTGGGGAGAAATGTGGGTCTTTATAGTTTCATCCTAAAAAAAGGGCATGACTTTGGACGAAAAGAAAAAAAATCAGTCTCCAGCATACCTGTGAGTTTTCACTAGGCCTGCTTCCTTCATTTCCATCACCTGCCTGGCCGTGAAGGTGGCCCTCTCTACATGGCAGCATGAACTCCCCATTGAAACTCTGCCAGTCAGAATGAAGGAGATCCACTGTGTTTGTGTTGAGGATTCATTACACATGACTCAGTAGAAAATACATGGACTTTGCTAAACCACCTAATAGCTGCTTTTACTGGAAAAAAAAAGAAATTGAAATACAGTGTTTTAAAAGATCACAGCTCTGTGCACAATAGTAAAGACATGGAATCAGTCTAGGTGCCCATCAACAGTGCATTGGATAAAGAACATGTGACATTTTCACACCATGGAATACTACACAGCCATAAAAAAGAATGAAATTTTGTCCTTTGCAGCAACATGGATGTGGCTGGAGGACATTATCTTAAGCAAATTTTTCCAGGAACAGAAAACCAAATATTGCATGTTGTCACTTACAAATGGGAGCTAAACATTGGATACACATGGACACAAAGATGAGAACAACTGGGGACTCCAAAAAGGGGGGAGAGAGGGAGAGAGGAAGGGCTAAAAATGACCCACTGCTCAGTACCTGGTGACAGAATCATTTGTAGCCCAAACCTCAGCATCACACAACATGTAACAAATACGAATATGTACTCTTTGATTCTAAAATAAAAGTTGAAATTATTTTTTAAAAGATGATGAGTTGTGATCAATCTTTCAAAATGTTTCCCCTGTTGTTATATTCATGGATATTTCATGACTTCAGCTTCACTCTTTTTGTCTAAAGAATACAAAATGACTAATTGATTTGCCTAAGCCTGAAAAGACTTTTCTAGAAAAAAACTAGGCAGTGATCGATGTCAGTTGACCTCTGTTAGAAGGTTGACTAATCTGTGCTGTGAGCCCTACAGGTGTAGTTAAATGTAATCACCCAGGACCTAAATATAAAACCCTTTTTAAAAAGAGAATAAGAATCATATTCAATTTTCAGTGCCAATAGAATAGAGGTTTATTTTGGTACATGGAAATAACAAGGTACAAAAATGTTTGCAAAAGACTTTAAGAGAGAGACTTCACTGGACTTCAAGGTTGGAGGCTTTAAGATCTGTGGCCCTACAAATGATGGAGGCAATCTTCAAATTCCTTAGGCATGATGAATAAATGTCCTGAAGTCAAAGAGGTGGGAGGATGTTGGAGGACAATTTGTCAATTTATTAGGAGATTGTCAATGAATTCCTTTGGAAGGAAGGGAGTTTGGACAAAAGGTAGAATGCAAATACAGAATTTCTAAGGATGAGGTTTGCTTATGGGACCCAGATCAATTCTCTTGAACAGTCCGCATGTTTGCAATGAGAGCCTTCATCTGTAGGAAAGGACGTAATAAGGAAGTGGTGTGTTCACAGCAGAGATTTAGCAGCAAGAGGAGGCACAGCACAAGGGGCGGGGGCAGGTGGAGATGACACAGGTTGGGCGATAGCAAGTGGTGTGGCAGGAGACTCGGCCACAGACTGGACGCAGGCAGCAGCAGGGGCGGCAGCAGCTGGATTCACAGCAAGAGGGGCAGCAGCTGCTGGAGATGCAGCAGCTGGGGCGGCAGCAGGTGGGCTGGCAGCACACAGACTGGCAGCACTGGGGTCTGCAGCAGCTGGACACACAGCAGCTGGGGCGGCAGCAAGTGGTCCTGCAGCAGGTGGTCTGACAGCAGCTGGGGCGGCAGCAGGTGGGCTGGCAGCACACAGACTGGCAGCACTGGGGTCTGCAGCAGCTGGACACACAGCAGCTGGGGCGGCAGCAGGTGGTCCTACAGCAGGTGGTCTGACAGCAGCTGGGGCGGCAGCAGGTGGGCTGACAGCACACAGACTGGCAGCACTGGGGCCTGCAGCAGCTGGACACACAGCAGCTGGGGCGGCAGCAGGTGGTCCTGCAGCAGGTGGTCTGGCAGCAGCTGGGGCGGCAGCAGTTCTCCAGGCCACAGCCCTGGTCAGAGCACACAGAGCCACAACAGGAGTTGACCATGGTGTCAGAGGGTGGAGGTTCTCGGTGGGTTTCCAGGAGAGTGAGTGTTCTGAGTTTGATCTCTCCTTGTTCTCTCTTTTGCTTTTTATACCCTGCTGAGAACCACTATGACCATGTGAATAATCTTGTGGTTTGCACATTACTAATAGAGAATCAGTTGTTTTTTAGTAAATTAGATAGTTGTCCTTATCTGGTAAATATTTCTATAAATAGAAAAGGCAACATTTCCTTTTCCTGTTGTATTCTGAGCTATCCAATTTGGTTAAGCCAAGTGAATCAGCTCTCATTCTCCTTCCTTCATCTGATGTGTCTTCTGATGTGTAGACCCATTACATGACATTGTTTGATTAATTCTTTATTTATTTGACTCCTGGATAATAAGTTGAAAATAGATTTTATGATGACTAAATCTCCTCTGCTCTCAAAGAGGTTAAAAATAAATTACATAGAATGCTGGTAGGAAAATGTGATGAAAGATTCATCTTTGGGGGGTGATAGGAGGTAACTTGTGTATAATAAGGAACACTGTGATTCCTTTGAATTTTGTGGCTGGTCAGTGAGATATAAAAGATCCCACTGAAATTCCTGTTTCATGTTATTGACTCTATTTAGCTTGAAACAGATATAATGCAATGATTCATTGCTTTACAAGTAAAAATACATTGGCATGATAGGTCCCTTTATAAATTATTGTTGGCATGTTCTTCAGAGATGGGGATCATAAGGAACATTTTTGTTCTATTTTGTTGGTAAGTCAAGATACCCACTGAATGTGTTTAACTGAAGTGTTATTGAAAGTAGATTTTCTCATACTCGAAAGCTGCTTTTTCTCACAATGTATGTTGGAGATATTTTGCTTGATACATGGAGAAAAGAAACAAAGGATCAAGTTTAATTTCTGTCCTACAGAAGCTTAAACAAGACAAATAAGAAACATGTATAGGAAAGAATTTAGCAACTATTTAGAGAATGGTGTGATTAGTGAACAAAATAACAATTATGTATTTAATCTGTACACTTCCAATGAAAGATGAAACAATACTAATAGTTATAATTTTTTGAGTGCTTACTATGTGTCAGGAATTTTCTGAGTCCTCTATAATTGTTATCTTGTTTATACTTCACAAGGATTCTGCTATGTAGACACAATTTTTCTAAATTCTTTACATCCAAGGTACTTGAGGCCCAGATAGATTGAAGTCACACAGTCTGTAACAGGGAAAGGGCGTCTCTCCTAGAGTGTTCAAGGAACATTTTGCGCATGAACATTTTGCAATTAAATCCCTCCTGATATTTAAAAACAATTATTTATAATTAAAAAGATGCAAGGTATGTTCTCACTCCTAAGTGGGAGTTGAACAATGAGATCACATGGACACAGGGAGGGGAACATCACACACTGGAGCCTGTCGGGGGTGAGGGACAAGGGGAGGGAGAGCATTAGGACAAATACCTGATGCATGTCGGGCTTAAAACCCAGATGACGGATTGATAGGTGCAGCAAACCATCATGGCATATGTATAACTATGTAACAGACCTGCATGTTCTGCACATGTATCCCAAAACTTAAAGTAAAATTAAAAAAAAAAAATGTATGGTAAGAAACCATCATAAACAAAGTAAAAACACAAATGACTAAATAATAAAAAAAGAACTAGCAATTAATATCACGGACAAAGGGTTAATAGTATATAAAAGACTTCTGAGACTGGACACGGTGGCTCACACCTGTAATCCCAGCACTTTGGGATGCCAAGGCAGGCGGATTGTTTGAGGTTAGGAATTTGAGACCAACTTGGTTAACTTGGCAAAACCCCATCTCTACCAAAAAAACAAAAAAAAGCAAAAAAAAAAAAAAAATGGCGAGGTGGCATGCATCTGTGGTCTGTGGTCCCAGCTACTCAGGAAGCTAAGGTGGGAGGATTGCCTGAGCCCAGGAGGCGGAGGTTGCAGTGAGCCAAGATTGCACCACTGCACTCCAGCCTGGGTGACAGAAGAAGAAGAAAAAAAGGCTTCTGGAAATAGATAGAAAACAGACCAACAGCCTAATGGGAAAATAAAATGCAAATATTTTACCACCATATAAATATACTCAATCTCATGCATAGTAAGAGAAATGAAATAATATGGTACGATACTTCTCACCTGTTAGATTATCAAAAATTCAAAATCTGATAGCATTCTCTGGAAGTGAGATGATGTGAAAATAGGCATGCTCGTATTTGTCTTGTGAAGGTTTGGCAATAACTAGCAGCATTATTCTTTGACTCAGCTATCCCAATTCCATAAAATATCTCAAAGATACTCAGGTAAATATATGAAAGATATTGCACAAGACGATTCATAAGAGTTCTATTTGGGAAAAAAACTAAAAACTACAACAACACTGGATACAACCCAGGTGTCCTTCAATAGGGTACTGGTGTATAAACTGTGGTGCCTTCCCATGATGGAGTACTATGCAGCTGTCAAAAGGAATAAGGAGTGTCTCTATAGGCTACTATAAATTAATCTCCAGTAGATATTGTTAGGAGACGATAAAGCAGTGGAGGAAAATGTGTACAATTGTTCTGCAACAATGTTTTAAAAATCCAGGATATAAATATTGAAAGTATATTTGCTTACACTTTAAAAAACGACAGAAGAATAGAGAGAGAGGAGATGAGAAAACAGGAAAGAGGGACTTCTGTCAAAACATCAAATTGTGCATTTTAAGTACATGCAGTTTATTTATTATATGTCAATTGTAATTTAATGTAGCTGAAAAAAAAAGAAAAAAATAATGGAAGAATCAACCACATTTGGTTTTGTTGTTGTTGTTGTTGTTGTTGTTGTTGTTTGAGACGGAGTCTCACGTTGTCACCCAGGCTGGAGTGCAGTGGAGCGATCTTGGCTCACTGCAACTTCCACCTCCTGTGTTCAAGCAATTCTCTGCCTCAGCCTCCTGAGTAACTGGGATTACAGGCGCCCACCACCACACCCAGTTAATTTTTGTATTTTTAATAGACATGGGGTTTCACCATCTTGGCCAGGCTGGTCTTGAACACCTGACCTCATGATTCCCTGCCTCAGCCTCGCAAAAGTGCTGAGATTACAGGCGTGAGCCACCGCACCCAGCCCATGTTTGTTTTTTAAAAATTGACCCATAGAGGATGGAGGGAATAGAATAGAGAAGATAGAAACAGACACTAGATTATTTTTGAATGTATCTTTTTCTGTAGCTTGGACTTTGCACCCATGTAAATATTTTACATACTTATAAAAATATTAAATTTTTAAAATCTCTCAAAATCACTAAAACCACCACCACAACAATGGAATCTAACTGTATATCCAGGCATAACTTCAGAGAAAGTAACTATCCCAAGGCCAAAATGTTTTTTTCAAAAACCTGTTAAGTTTGTTTGCAATAACTACACTGTTGTTATTAGTATTGGCAATATTATTCCAAGATTGTTGTGCAAGCATTAGGTAATAAAGAAAATGAGTAATTACATCAAGGAACTGTTATTTTTGGCAAGGAATAAAAGAGATTTAGGAAAAAGATATGAGGTTAAGTAAAAATCCTGTAATTATCAGTAGAAACGCTGATGTACTTTATCTTTTAAGCAAATATTTTCTAGTTGTGGACACTGAAAAAGTTGAGAGAAAATAATCAATTTAGTAATACTCATCATTTTTACATTTCAATCTTTCGTCCCAAATGCCATATTCACTACAAGGAACAGGGGTTCCTTGGAGAAATGGCTGAATATAAGTGTGGGTAAGGAAATATACAAATGAACCTGGAATATCTTATTATATATATATTAAAAAAAATCTACTAGATTCACGTCAAAAGTAGCCAGAGACCAACTTGAAGTTTGTTATTTGAGCACCAATGGGGATATGAACTGGAACCCACAGGTTCATATTGACAGGAGTTAAAAAAAATACTTTGGTCAGCTTTGAATGATGTTCCATTAGCAAGATTAACCAAGAAAAGGGAGAAAAAATCTAAATAACCTCACTAAGAAATGAAATGGGAGCTATTACAACTGACACCACACAAATACAAAAGATCATTCAAGGCTACTATGAACACCTTTATGCACATAAACTAGAAAACCTAGAAGAGATGGATAAATTCAGGGAAAAATACAACCCTCTTAACTTAAATCGAGAAGAATTAGATACCCTGAACAGACCAATAACAACCAGTGAGATTGAATGGTAATTAAAAAATTACCAACAAAAAAAAGTCCAGGACTAGGCAGATTCACAGCAGAATTC